>NW_003315964.2:0-170222 GCF_000001405.40 Homo sapiens
CCAGTGGGTCTTGACTCTAACCAGCTTGCCATTCTGTGTCTTTTAATTGGGGCATTTAGCCCATTTAAATTTAAGGTTAATATTGTTATGTGTGAATTTGATCCTGTTCTCATGGTGCTAGCTGGTTATTTTGCAGACTTGTTGATGTAGTTGTTTCATGATGTCATTGGTCTTTGTACTTCAGTGTGTTTTGCATTTGCTGGTAGTGGTTTCTTCTTTTCATATTTAGTGCTTCTTTCAGGAGCTCTTGCAAGGCAGGTCTAGTGGTGATGAATTCCTTCAGCATTTGTTTGTCTGAAAATGATTTCATTTCTCCTTCACTTATGAAGCTTACTTTTACTGGGTATTCTGGGTTAGAAATTCATTCTTTTAAGAATGCTGAATATTGGCCCCCAATTGACACCCTGGCTTGTAGGGTGTCTTCTTAGAGGTCCATTTTATAGTAGGTGACCTGGCCTTCCCTTTGGCTGCTCTTACCATTTTTTCCTGAAGTCTAACCTTGAAGAATCTGATAATTATGTGTCTTGAGGTTGATCTTCTCATGGAGTATCTTACTGGGGTTCTCTGGATTTTCTGAATTTGAATGTTGGCCTGTCTTTTTAGGTTGGAAAAGTTCTTCTGGATGATATCCTGAAGTATGTTTTCCAACTTGGTTACATTCTTTCCATCTCTTTAGAGTACTGCAATCAGTTGTAAGTGGTCTTTTTACATAATCCAACAGTTCTCAGAGATTTTTTCATTCCTTTTTATTTTTATTTTTTCAATCTTATCTGCCTTATTTCAGCAAGATAGCCTTCAAGCTCTGAAATTCTTCTCCCTGCTTGATCTACTCAGTTATTGATACTTGTGATTACATTGTGAAGTTCTCATGTTGTGTTATTCAGTTGCATCAGGTCATTTATGTTCCTCTCTAAACTGGTTATTCGGGTTAACAGCTCCTGTAATGTTTTTCGTGGTTCTTAGCTTCTTTGCATTGGCTTAGAACATGCTTCATTACCTCACCGAAGCTGATTATTACCCACCTTCTGAAGCCTACTTCTCTCAATTTATCCATCTCAGCCTGATCCCAGTTCTGTCCTCTTGCTGGAGACATGTTTTGATTATTTGGAGGAGTAGAGACACTCTGGCTTTTTGAGTTTTGAACATTTTTTTATTGATTATTCTCATCATCATGAGTTTATCTAGCTTTGGTCTTTGAGGCTGCTGACGTTTGGATGGGGTTTTTGTGGGGACATTTTTGTTGATGCTGCTGTGGTTGCTTTCTGTTTTTCTTTTAACAGTCAGGCCCCTCTTCTGTAGGGCCGCTGTGATTTGCTTGGGATCCACTTCAGATCCTATTTGCCTGGGTTTCTCCCACACCTGGAGGTGTCACCAGTGGAGTGTGTAGAACAGCAGAGAGAACTGCCTGCTCCTTCATCTGTAAGCTTTTTCCCAGATGGGCACTGAGCTGATGACAGTGGGAATACTTCTTTATAAGTTGTCTTACAATGCCTGTTGGGGGGGTGGTCCTCACTCAGTCAGGATGCACAGGATTCAGGAACCACTTAACAAGGCACTCTGGCTGCTTCTTGGTGAAGGGGGTGTGCTTCACTGGGAGAAATTCCATACATCTGGACTGCCCAGATTTTTCAGAGCCAGCAGGGGGAAAGACTAAGTCTGCTGATCTGCAGAAACCACTTCATTGTTACACTTTTATGTGTTTCTTGTAGATATGTCTTTTCTCATTTCTTGTTTTACTGCCTTAATTTTTGTTTTAATTTTATTGTGACATGCTTTATTTTTTATTTTGTTTTGCATACTTTCCATAAGTATAATGTAATCTTGAAATACAATGTAACCATATTGAAGAACAGATTACATAAAACATCTTAAAGTTAAAACTATGTATTTTAATCTCATCACACTTCAATTAAATACAAAACTTATACTGTTATATTTTCCAGTTTGTTATTAATATTAAAAACCATATTATCTTACATCATGTATCTATTAACAGATTTATACAGATTTATATCTTGTTTTTTATATCTGTAGAAGAACTTTAAGGGTTTTATGCAGCATCATTTTGATAGTAAAAAATTCTATATGTGTCTGTATTTACATTTAATAGAGAACTTCATATTTATATATGTTTTATGATGCTGTCTAGTATCATTTTGTTTTTCAACATAATGGACTCATTTTAGCATTTCTTTTTGTTTGTATGCAGAGTCTCACTATGTTTCTCTGGCTGATCTTGAACTACTGGTCTCAAGTGATCTATCTACCTTGTCTTCCTAAAGCTGTAGAATTACAGGCCTGAGCCACTGTGCCTGGCTACCATTTAACATTTTATGTAGGACTCTGGTAGTTGTAATAAATGCCCTGAACTTTTATTTTGGAAAGTCTTTATTTTTATCTTGTTTTTGAAGTAAAATAATTTTGAATTAAGTATTAGTTAGAAATTCTTTTATAACATCAAAATTTGGGAAGTTCTCAGTCTTTTTTGTCTTCAAATAAGCTCTGTATTACTTTTTCCCTATATTCTTCTAAGATTCCTTTCATGAATATATTGATCTACTTGATGGTGTCCAATACATTTTACATTCCATATTTTAATTTTGTTTTGCAATGTTATATTTTTGTGTTATATATTTTAAGGTATGCCACTTCACACCATTTACTTGTGTTTTGGTGTTTTATTTTATATTATAATTGTGTATGACAGTGTTTAACTCTGTGCAATTTAAGACAGTCTAGCAAAATCAATATAAATCAGCCAGAAGTCTACTGCCAATATAATTACCTCTGTGTTTGTTTACCTCTATAAATGTCATCTCTGTTTATTTTATCACTTGTATATTTGTTTTGTAGGTTTGTTTTGAATGGTCGTTTAGTCTTGGCTAGGTGACCAGTTATAAAATTCTCCTAATTTCAGTATCTGTTGTGAATCTACATTACTTCTGTGTGGGAGAAATACTTTGGGATTTGAAGATAAAATTGAAACTATTATATCTTTATATATTGTTCATTTTTACTTGTCAAAAACACATAAAATATTATCTTTTTTTTTTTCTTGAGACAGCATCTCTGTTGCCCAGGCTGGGGTGCAGTTGTGGCATCTTGGCTCACTGCAACCTCCGTCTCCTGGGTTCAAGCGATTCTTTTGCCTCAGCCTCCTGAGTAGCTGGGATTACAGGCATGCGACACCACACCCTGCTAATTTTTGTATTGTTAGTAGAGATGGGGTTTCACCGTGTTGGCCAGGCTGGTATCCAACTCCTGACCTCGTGATCCACCCACCTGGCCTCCCAAAGTGCTGGGATTACAGGTGTGAGTCATCACACCTGGCCCATTATCAAATATTTTTAAATAATCTGTTTAGTCATATTAATTATAGTGATAATATTACGCAACATACACCTAGAATGTTTTTATCTTGCAAATCTAAATCTCAGTGTACATTAAACAACAACCAATTTTTCTGATTTTCTGGCACTTTGCAAACACCACTTTGTTTTCTTTTTCTAAGAGTGTAACTGCCTCATATGTCTTATACAATCTCTGTCTCATTGTGGCTAGCTCATTTTATTTTGCATAATGTCATCAAGCTTTATTTTTAGAGTTGTTAGACTATTTCCTGCTTTTTAAATCCTGGGTGATATTCCAGTATTTTTATGTCACAAATTATATGTATTGGATAATTTGGTGACAGAAAGTTGCATTGCTGCCGGGCGCAGTGGCTCACATCTGTAATCCCAGCACTTTGAGAGGCTGAGGCAGGAAGATAACAAGTCAATAGATCGAGACCATCCAGGCCAACATGGTGAAACCCCGTCTCTACTAAAAATACAAAAAATTAGCTGGGCATGGTGGCACACACCTGTTTTCCCAGCTACTTGGGAGGCTGAGGCAGGAGAATTGCTTGAACCTGGGAGGTGGAGGTTGCAGTGAGCCAAGTGTCACTGCACTCCAGCCTGTGCAACAGTGCAAGACTCAGTCTCAAAACAAACAAACAAACAAAAACAATAGAAAGAAATTTGCATTGCTTTTACTTATTGGCTTTCAGTAAAAATGCTGCAATAATTATGGGTATGAAAATAACTCTTCATATGACCATATATGTGAAACTTTATATAGGTGCTGCATTCTATTTTATTAGCCTACTTTTTACCCATTATACTCATACCAAATTGTTTTAATTCTGTAGCTTTGTAATGTGTTTTGAAATCAGGAACTATAATGCCTTCATTTTCTTTTTTTGAAGACTCTTGGGTACTTTATTGTCTCTTGACATTTTATATATTTTTGGAGTTGTTTCTATTTCCTCAAAAATGCAATGAGAAATTTTTTAAAACATTGCATTAAATCTGTAGATTACATTGAGAAGTATGGATGTTTTCAAAATATCAATTATTTCTACCTTTAAACAGGAGCATGCTCAAGAGTGTGTTGTTTAATTTCCATGTATTTGTGAATTTTTAGTTCTTTTTCTATTATTGTTTTATACTCATTCCATTTTGTTCATATAATCCATACAATTTCAGTCTTAGCAAATGCATTAAGACTTCCTTTTTGGCCTAACATATGGTCTACCAAGGAGAATGTTGTATGAGCAATTGAGAAGCATGTGTATCCTGATATTGTTGAGGAGTCTTCTCTATATATCTGTTAGAAATAATTGTTTTATACTGCCTTCAAGTCCTCTCTTCACTAACAAATATTCTGTTTTGTTTTATTTTTATTATGGAAAGTAGGGTATGGAAATGTCCTACTATAATTATATTGCTGTCTAGGTGTTTCTTCCATTCTGTCAATGTTTGCTTTATATATTTGGAAACTTAATGTGAGATACACACACACACACACACACACATACATTTGACTTAGGTTATCAGTAAATGAATCTATTATTTTTTAATGTCTTTTGTCTCTTTGCAATTTTGACTTTTAGTACATTTTATAAAATATGAAAGTTTTTCACTTAAGATATAGCTTATGTCATATTATTTTGACCTCTTCTCTCATTTGGTTAATATTTACTTGCAATATGTATATCCATCTTGCCACTTTCAGTTTTTTTTATCAGTAGATCTCAGCTTACTCTTGTAGAAAGGCAAATTGGATCTCAGTTTTTAAAATATTTAAATAAATCTCTTTATTAAAAGTATGTTTCTTGATTGCAAAGTTAAAGATATATATTTAAATAATTTTCTGAAACAGGAAGACATACTAATGTTATTTTATTGTTTTATTTGATTCTTATATCTTGGTCACTCATTTTCTCTTTGTCTTTGTGTCTTTTTAGTTTTATATTGATATGTTTCTTTTACTTATTTCTTAATTTGTTTTGTGCATCTATACACATATGTTCTTTGAGGTACCTTGGGGATTACATAAACCTCTAAAAGATAAAACAGTATATTTCAATCTGGTAAAAAGGAACTTCATTTGCATGCACAATTTTTTTCTCATTACATCTTCCCTCAAATTTGTCATTGATTTTGCTAATTATATCTTTTTATGTTGTATATTTATTAACAGATGTTTATAATGATTTCTGTGATTTTCTCTTTCAACTTTCAGATAATAATTAAAAATGTTTTCTGCACCATTATTATAATGCAAAGAAATTCCATTTTGGTGTATGTGCATATACTTAGAAGTAAAAATATATATGTGCATATAATCTTTCCCAGAAAATAAATGTAGTTTTATATGATTATGTGTTGCTTTTGTTGAATTATGTTATTTTCAGAAGAAGCAACTGCTTTCAGCACTTTTTATATGTAGGGTTTATGGAGTTCCAATATACTTTTCAGAATTTTGTTATTTTTGAAAGTTTTTTTCTTTTTATTTGGCAGGACAGATTTGCTGATGGTATTATGCTGTCTTGATCGCTGTATTTTTCAGGAGTTTGACTTTATCACACATTTCCCTTCTGGTCTGCAAAATTTTTGTTGACAATTCACTGGCTGTCTCATAAGACTATGCTTGCAAATGACGCATCACTTTTATCTTGCAGCTCCCAAGGTTCTCTTCTTGTCTGTGACTTTTGAAATTGTGCTTATATATGTGTTTGTTATAAATATCTTTGTGTGTTTCCTAGTTTGTTTGTTGAGCTTCAACATATTGCCTTATTTTGTATACATTGTAACCCTTGATTGAAATTTGGACATTAAAAAAGGCTACCTGTCACAATCTTTATAATGTAGCTTTGTCCTGGCATAGTCTGAACAATCGTCTTGGTTAGAGATTCTGGGAGTCTCTCAAACATGTTCTTAGAATGTGTCTTGTCTGAAATGTTCTTTATTTTTTAGTTAAAGGAATTTATTCATGTTTCTTCTTAATAGTAGTCACGTGCTACACCTGTTTTCTCTGTGTGGTACAGTAGTCTCTCTGGTGCTGTAACATTTACCTTTGGTCTCAGCAAACTTAAACTGTCACTCCAAAGTATACCACCATTTCTTTCAGCATTATATTTCAAGAGAGACACAAACCAGTTTTGGAAAGCTCCTAGAAGCAAGTAACAAAGATGAATGTGCCAGTATTTTACTTGTCGTTAAAACGTTGGCAATTTACTTCTAAAGACACTATGTTATATTGGGGAGCAGAAAGAGCTGTGTTGGGTAAATATAGCAGACTTTCACTTCCAGGTGGCTCTTTGCGTTGTTCTCACCATGGGCACTTCATACACTTAGCTCATTTGTAAATTTTTTTCAGATGTAATTTGGTTGGTATGTTTTTGTTACATTTACATGTCTAAAGGAATGAGGGCCTTTGGTATTTTCCTATGCCATCTTGTTTATGTAGTTTGTATAATAAGTTAGATTTGAAAACTTTGTCTGTGTCTAGCAAGTAATTTGTTATTTTTATTTCTTTCAGTTATATGTTCTCATTTTGCCCAAGACCTTTGGGCAGAGCAGGACATTAAAGATTCTTTTCAAGAAGCGATTCTGAAAAAATATGGAAAATGTGGACATGACAATTTACAGTTACAAAAAGGCTATAAAAGTGTGGATGAGTGTAAGGTACACAAAGAAGATGATAACAAACTAAACCTGTGTTTGATAACTACCAAGAGCAATATATTTCAATGTGATCCATATGAAAAAGTCTTTCATACATTTTCAAATTGAAATAGACATAAGATAAGACATACTAGAAAGAAACCTTTCAAATGTAAAAAATGTGAAAAATCATTCTGCATGCTTTTACACCTAACTCGACATAAAAGATTTCATATTACAGAGAATTCCTACCAATGTGAAGATTGTGGCAAAGCCTTCAACTGCTTCTCAATTCTTACTGAACACAGGAGAATTCATACTGGAGAGAAATCCTACAAATGTGAAGAATGTGAGAAAGAATTTAAACGGTCCTCACACCTTACTACACATAAGATAATTCATACTGGAGAGAAACCGTACAGATGTGAAGAATGTGGGAAGGCCTTTAACTGGTGTTCACACCTCACTACACATAGAAGAATTCATATTGGAGAGAAACCCTACAAATGTGAAGAATGTGGCAAAGCTTTTCACCAATCCTCAACCCTAACTGCCCATAAGATAACTCATGCTGGAGAGAAGCCCTACAAATGTGAAGAATGTGGCAAAGCTTTTGCAAGATTCTCATACCTTAAGAACCATAAGATAAGTCATACTGGAGATAAATTCTACAAATGTGAAGAATGTGGCAAAGTCTTTAACCACTCCTCAACTCCTACTACACATAAGAGAATTCATACTGGAGAGAAACCCTACAAATGTGAAAAATGTGGCAAAGCCTTTAACTAGTCCTCAACTCTTACTAAACATAAAAAAATTCATGCTAGAGAGAACCCCTGTTAGTGTGAAGAATATGGCAAAGCCTTTAATAAGTTCTCAATTCTTAACAGATATAAGATAATTCATACTAGAGATAATTTCTATAAACCAGAAAGATGTGACAGGGCTTTTGAAAACACCTCAAACTTTTCTAAACATAAAAGAAATCATAGTGTTGAGAAATCCTAGAAATGTGAAGAATATGATAAAGTTTTAAATGGTTGTCACACTTGATTGTAGGTAAGATAAGTTATACTGGAGAAAACTTCTACATGTGTGAACAGTGTGACAAAACTTTTAACCAGTGCGCACACCTTACTTCACAGGAAAGCATTTATACTTGAGAGATATTGTACAAATATAAAGACTGTGAAAAAGCCATTAATACATGCTCACATCTTACTCAACATCAGAGAGTTCATACTTAATAAAAACATTATAAGTGCAACTACTGTCAAAATATCTTTAAGAAAATGGAAGCCTCTAAAGTAAAGAAGATTATTTTAAAGAAGAACATTGTAGTAGGGTTGTAATATGTTTACTTGTGTCACAGATCTTATTGTACACATTTTGTATTAGAGGAAACCTCAGAAGCAATTGCTCAAACTTTGTTTAATATCAGGGAATTTATATTGAAAAAAAAACCCTGCAAATGTAATAAATTTGGAAAAATACTTTTTCAAAAACTACAGCTTAGAAAACACCAGAGAGTTCATACTAAAACATATTTTTGCAGATGCAGTAAAAATTTAAAGAAATTTTAATACAAAATTAAGTCTATGTAAATATCAGAGAATTTACAGTAGAAATATATAAGGCACTGACACTTCAGATATTATACTAAATCACAGTGCTCATGATAGAAAATAATCTAAAACTAAAGTTGATAGAAAAATTATTCATATGTAAGTTTAAAAGAATTTTTTGCAGAATTATAATTACATTCAAAGTATGCTTAACTTTTGGAAAACATAGATTTTTTGAAAAGTGAATAATGATGTAATTCAATTCTCAAATTATTTCCTGCTGTTTCTTCATTCCTATTTACATGTGAGAGCATGTGATGAATTGTTGCTGCATCCAAGATATGAGAGATTCTTTTTTATTAGGTGAGCATTATTTATAAACTTTGTTATGAAAATGTAAGGACATTAAAATGTAAGATGCATGATGAAAATCTAAGTGAAGAGACCTTTGTGGTTAACTTATAATATTGAGTAATGTGTGAGTTAAGTGTTCAGTCATATTCTTCTGTATTATGAGAAGAAAACATTTTTAATTTCATAAGTAAATTAAAATTTAGTATATTGTACTAATTATACTTTTATATAAAATGCAGTATATTTTGAAAATTTCAGATTATATGTGATGTTAATATATTCAACATCTTTAACATTTTAAATACTGTTGTGCATTCAGTGAAGTGTTATGTAACAAACATTAATTCCCCCTTACTCAAGGTTGTACATAAAATATGGTAATAATATACTATTTGTTAACATAATGGATTAACTTCTCTAGTACTTTTGCCAGTGGCTTTGACTGCAAATAAGTTAAACAATATTATTTCTTTAAATTAAATTTTTGTTTCTATTTTATTTAATTTTTTTTGAGAGGGAGTCTTGCTCTGTCACGCAGTCTGGAGTGCAGTGGCACAATCTCAGCTCACTGCAACCTTGCCTCCTGGGTTCAAGCAATTCTTCTGCCTCAATCTCCCAAGTAGCTGGGATTACAGGCACCCGCCACCACACCCAGCTAATTTTTGTATTTTAGTAGAGACAGGGTTTCACTATGCAGGTCAAGCTGGTCTCAAACTCCTGACCTCAAATGATCCACACGTCTCGGCCTCCCAAAGTGCTGGGATTACAGGTGTGAGTCACCATGCCCAGCCAAATTTTTATTTTATTTAAATTTATTTTTCTTAATTATTTGGGGTACATAATATGAGTATATATTCATGCAATATATGGCATATTTTGATACAAGAATACACTATATAATAATCACACCAGGGTAAATGAGGTATCCATCACCTCTAGTATTTATCTTTTTTTTTTTGTTGAGACAGAGTCTTGTTGTGCTGCCCAGGCTAGAGGGCAGTGGTGCAAGCTTGGCTCACTGCAACCTCCACCTCCTGGGTTCAAATGATTCTTCTACCTCAGCCTCCTGAGTAGCTGGGATTACAGGCATGCACCACCATGCCCAGCTAATTTTTGTGTTTTTAGTGGAGACAGGGTTTCACCTTGTTGGTCAGGCTGGTCTCAAACTCCTGAACTCACGATCTGCCTGCCTTGGCCTCCCAAAGTGCTGGGATTACAGGTGTGAGCCACCGTGCCCGGCTTAGCATTTATCCTTTGTATAACAAACAATCCAATTGTATGCTTTTAGTTATTTAAAGATGTACATTTAAATTGTTATTGATTACAGTGTAATTTTTATGGTCAAAATAAAAGTTATGTAGAAATATGAATAAAATCCATACATTTCTGAGTCCTGAATAAATATTTTTAAAGTTTTCTGATATTTATTTTTTGAACATGTTTCCTGTCTGCCCACAAACACATGCAGACGTTTAGTTTTGATTTACATAGAGTTCAATATATGTTAGTCTAAAGATAAACCTTAGGTGTAAGAAAATTATAGAGTGTAGGGGTGGGTTGCCCCTACACACCTGTGGGTGTTTCTCGTAAGGTGGGACGAGAGATTTGGAAAAGAAAAAGACACAGAGACAAAGTATAGAGAAAGAAATAAGGGGAACCGGGGAACCAGCGTTCAGCATATGGAGGATCCCGCCAGCCTCTCAGTTCCCTTAGTATTTATTGATCATCTGTGGGTGTTTCTCAAAGAGGGGGATGTGTCAGGGTCACAAGACAATTGTGGGGAGAGGGTCAGCAGACAAACACGTGAACAAAGGTCTTGGCATCATAGACAATGTAAAGGATTAAGTGCTGTGCTTTTAGATATGCATACACATAAACATCTCAATGCTTTACAAAGCAGTATTGCTGCCCGCAGGTCCCACCTCCAGCCCTAAGGCGGTTTTTCCCTATCTCAGTAGATGGAGCATACAATCGGGTTTTATACCGAGACATTCCATTGCCCAGGGACAGGGAGGAGACAGATGCCTTCCTCTTGTCTCAACTGCAAGAGGCATTCCTTCCTCTTTTACTAATCCTCCTCAGCACAGACCCTTTACAGGTGTCGGGCTGGGGGACGGTCAGGTCTTTCCCTTCCCACGAGGCCATATTTCAGACTATCACATGGGGAGAAACCTTGGACAATACCTGGCTTTCCTAGGCAGAGGTCCCTGCGGCCTTCTGCAGTTTTTGTGTCCCTGGGTACTTGAGATTAGGGAGTGGTGATGACTCTTAAGGAGCATGCTGCCTTCAAGCATCTGTTTAACAAAGCACATCCTGCACCGCCCTTAATCCATTCAACTCTGAGTTGACACAGCAGATGTTTCAGAGAGCACGGGGTTGGGGGTAAGGTCATAGATTAACAGAATCTCAAGGCAGAAGAATTTTTCTTAATACATAACAAAATGGAGTCTCCTATGTCTACTTCTTTCTACACAGACACAGTAACAATCTGATCTCTCTTGCTTTTCCCCACATTTCCCCCTTTTCTTTTCGACAAAACCACCATCGTCATCATGGCCCATTCTCGATGGTCGCTGTCTCTTCGGAGCTGTTGGGTACACCTGTAGACTAACAACAGACAAAACAGGAACACAAGGATTAATATGAGATTTATAATTGTAGTACTTCCAATGGTCTTAACCCAAGTGACAGTGTTAAGATTTGCGAGGCCATCAGCAACTCCTGCAATTGCCTCAGTTCCTGGCACCAAATTTAAATGGGCTTTTGATGCTTCAAAAATTTGTTCTTTTAATTTGGAAATGTCTAAAGTGAGATTATCTTCTCTTCCCTGTAGATGGCGTCTAACCATGTCCCAGTGATGCTCAGACTCATTATAAATTTGGGGTGTAATACAAAAATCTGACGTATTCCAGTCACATTGTAACTGGAAACGATGTTCTAAGCTCATGTGCCTGTCTCCCATCCAAATGACAGTTTGTCTAAGATCATTAATTTGATTTGCCAATTTTTGATCAATACTAGATTGTGAATTCCACAATCTTGTAGAATTATTTTGCCAATCATTAACAAAGTTTACTGACTGAAAAGAAGAGTGCAATGCAAGTCCTGCTACAGCAGCCGTAGCTGTGACTGCAATTAATCCCATAATCACTGCAATTAAAGTAAAAATGAATCTTTTGGATCTATTTAAAACACCTTTTAATACTTCAGTCAAAATATGGACGGATGGTGAGGCCTCCCACGGTCGGTCCATGGACACAGGGATCCACACGCCCTCTCTTGCTCTCACCAGCAGAATACGGTGTTGCCAATTAAAAGTTGAATCAATGCAAGTAAGCAATCTACAATTTTCACAGGTTATAGTCTGGGAGTCTGGTTTAATAACTATATTTCCTACAACTAGCATATAAGGGGGCTTTACGCAACTTTGTAAAGGAACTGTTAGACTGGAATTTAGGTCGATAGTATAAAATGGCTTACGATCTCTTGTTTCTAAAGTTTGATTTCCAGACCAAATTCTAATGTGGTGTGAGGCCACAGTAAGCCTCCATAATTCTGGATGTTCAGGACCAGAAACAGGACTTATTATTTTTGGTCTTGCGGTAGAGATTCCTTTTTCTCCCCATTCCCAAGGGTAGAAAGACTGCAATTTTTTATGCTTATGTTTGTCTAAACTTTCTGTTAAGTCGCTATCAACAGCTGGACTCACTTGTGCACTTGGACACGACTGAGTTTGTCCTGAGCAATTGTGGTAGAATTGACCTTGAGGTGCCCAATCTATAAGAGTTCCGAATTCATTGTTTTGTAATATCACCGCACTATTGGCCACACATTCTTCCCAAACTAAAACTTCTGTATTTTTTGATTCTTTGGGAATTTCCTTGGGGCAAGGTTTCCCTTTAGGTCTAAATTTTAATGATCTTTGATAAGAAAAGTCTTGTGAATAATTTACCCGTGGCCTGAGTGACATCCCGCTTACCATGTGATAAGTGAATCTACTGATGGGACTGACAGTAGGTACTTCTACCAACCAATTTTGGACTGCAGGCATTAAACATCCTGGTGCTCTCCCTAGGCAAATAGGAGGATAACGATACCCAATGGAAATATTTATCATCATCCCTTCTTCCTCAGGTTTGGCAGGGCAGCAATCATCTGTGGGGCCAGGTACCCATACACTATCATTAACATATATTTCTATAGGATTATCCATCCATGTGACTGCCCGAATTAAGGGCGGGAAAGGCACATAGGCCCAGTAGGTATAGTTAGCTGCAGCTGCTCCTGCAGGCATAGGGAGACTTACCACCATTGATACAATCATCAAGGCTGCAAGCAGCATACTCTCTGGGGTTTGTGTCACCTTTGTGTTCTCTAGATATTTTGTAGCTAACTGCGTCAGCTTCTTTAGTTGTGCCCAAGTCGGCGGCTCTGCCTTCTTGGTGGATGGCAACTTCATCTGTTCTTCTGACGTCACCATTTTGTTCATCTTGTGAGTCAACGGTGCTCGATTGCGGTGTCTCCGTCTCCGCGGAGGTGCTTTTCTTTGCATCTCCAATGGGTTCATTGTAGAACTTCAAATGTCTAGTGGGCATCCAAACAGGAAGCTGATTTTCTCCTGGTGAAACACAAGCAAAACCTCTCCCTCACGTTATCACCTTCCCTATTTCCCATGTCTTATTTTTATTATCTTTCCACCAAATTAGTTTTCCTTCATGTGGGCTGTTCTTTTTACCAGTAAGATGTTGTTCTGCAGAAGTAGTAGTCTGATTTCTATAAATGTTTAAAAAATTTAAAGTATAGGGTGCTAGATTAAGTTGCATCTGAGGAGTGGTACACTCCTTACTGTCTCCCCCTTCTTTTTGTTTAACTAATTGAGTTTTGAGTGTTCTATTAGTTCTTTCAACTATGGACTGTCCTTGGGAATTATAAGGAATTCCTGTTGTATGTGAAATTTTCCACTGACTTAAGAATTTTTGGAAAGCTTTACTACAATATCCTGGTCCATTGTCAGTTTTGATTTTTTCTGGAACTCCCATTACAGCAAAACAAGACAATAAATGTTTTTTAACATGGGAAGTACTTTCTCCTGTTTGGCAAGTTGCCCATATGAAATGTGAATAAGTATCAACTGTTACATGAACATATGATAATCTTCCAAATGAAGGTACATGTGTGACATCCATTTGCCATAATGCATTAGGACACAGACCTCTGGGATTAACTCCTGCCTCTTGAGTGGGCAGGTGTAAGACTTGACACTGGGTGCAATGTTGTACAATATCTTTTGCCTGTTTCCATGTGACATCAAATTTGTTTTTTAATCCTGCTGCATTTACATGAGTCAAAGCATGAAGTTCTTGTGCTTTTATGAGTGCAGATGATACCAGTAAGTCAGCTTGTTCATTTGCTTTAGTCAAAGGCCCTGGTAAATTAGTGTGTGCTCGAATATGAGTAATATAAAATGGGAAATTTCTTTTTCTTACAGTTTGTTGTAATAAATTGAATAGCTGGTTTAACTGATCATCCATGCTATATTTAATTAGAGCTGTCTCAACATCCCTTGTAGCCTGTACTACATATGCAGAATCTGATATAATATTGATAGGCTGGTCAAAATCTTGTAACACTGTAATGACTGCAACCAACTCTGCTCTTTGAGCCGATTGATATGGAGTTTTGATTACTCGTTCTTTCAGCCCTGTGTAAGCTGCTTTTCCATTGCTGGAACCATCAGTAAATACTGTTAGAGCATTTTCTAAAGGTTCACGTCTGGTAATTTTAGGTAGAATCCAAGTAGTCAATTTTAAGAACTGGAAGATCTTTGTTTTTGGGTAATGATTATCAATAATTCCCACAAAATTAGCAAGACCAATCTGCCATGCACCAGAATTGATAAAGGCTTGTCTAACTTGTTCCTTGGTTAAAGGGACAACTATTTTGTCTGGGTCATTCCCACATAATTTTATTATTCGTAATCTTGTCTGACCGATTAATGTAGCTATTTGATCCAAGTACAATGTAAAAGTCTTAACTGTACTGTGAGGAAGGAATGACCACTCCACAAGATCAGTATTTTGAATAATGATGCCTATTGGAGAATGTGCAGTGGCAAAAATCAAAAGTCGGAGTGGGGCTAAGGGATCTATTCTATTTATTTGTGCTGACTGAATTTTTTCTTCCACTAATTTAATTTCTTTTGTTGCCTCTGGGGTTAACATTCTTTTACTATTTAAGTCTGAGTCTCCTCTTAAGATAGAGAACAAATTTGACATGGCATAAGTAGGAATGCCTAGAGTTGGCCGAATCCAATTAATATCTCCTAGTAATTTTTGAAAATCATTTAGTGTTTTTAATGTGTCTTTTCTTATTTCTATTTTTTGTGGCTTAATTTTTCTATTTTCTATCTGCATCCCTAAATAATGAAAAGGAGTAGAGGTTTGGATCTTATCAGATGCTATTGCCAGTCCAGCATTGGCAACCTCTGCTTGCAGAAATGTATAACAGTCAATTAATTTATCTTTCGTTTCTGCAGCACATAAAATATCATCAATATAATGAATGATATAACAGTCTGAAAACTTGTCTCTAACTGGTTGAAGAGCTCGACCTACAAAAGTCTGACAAATAGTTGGACTATTAAGCATTCCCTGAGGTAACACTTTCCACTGAAACCTGGTGGCTGGTTCTTTATTATTTATGGCTGGTATAGTAAAGGCAAATTTTTCACAATCCTGCTCTGCCAGAGGGATGGTAAAAAAGCAATCCTTTAGATCAATTATAATTAAAGGCCAATCTTTTGGGATCATGGCTGGAGAGGGCAACCCAGGTTGGAGAGGCCCCATGGGTTGAATTACGGCGTTTACAGCCCTTAAGTCAGTTAACATACGCCATTTGCCTGATTTCTTCTGAATTACAAACACAGGAGAATTCCAAGGTGAGAACGAAGGTTCAATGTGACCCTTTTCTAACTGTTCATTTGCTAATAAATGTAAAGCCTCCAGTTTTTGTTTTGGTAGCGGCCACTGATTTACCCACACCAGTTTTTCTGTTTTCCAAGTTAATGGTATGGGTTTAGGAGGCTCTACAGTGGCCGCCCCTAAAAAGGATACCCTATTCCTTCTCTTTCTTGATTTATTTTAGCCTCAACTGGAACTTTAATGCCATCTTCATTTTTCCCTAGTCCCTTTCCTGGTATATATCCCATCTTGGTCATGATTTTTTGACTCGTGGGGCTATATAATGGAGCGGGCATGGTGATTTCCACACCCCATTGTTGTAATAAATCTCGACCCCACAGATTAAGAGGAATTGAAGTAATCATTGGCTGAACAGTACTTTCTTGATTATCTGGCCCTAAGCAATGTAAAATCTCCGTACTTTGATACACTTCTGAGGCTGTGCCTATGCCGACAAGTCCTGTAACAGCCTTTTGTTTAGGCCAATTTTTTGGCCACTGATTTAAAGCAATGATAGAGACATCTGCTCCAGTGTCTACCAACCCTTCAAACTGTTTTCCTTGAATAATGGCCTTACACACAGGTCTGTTCTCTGAGACCTGACTTGCCCAATATGCAGCCTTTCCTGTCGGATCAGTGCTTCCAAGCCCTCCTGTTCTTTTTATTTCACTATTTCCACCCTTAATATATGGCAGGAGTAATAATTGAGCAATCCTGTCTCCTGGACTGGCACTCCAAGGAATTGAAGAGCTAATAACCAATTGAATTTCGCCTTTATAGTCTGAATCAACCACACTAGTATGAATTTGAACTCCTTTTAGATTTAGACTTGATCTTCCCAAGATTAGTCCTACAGTCCCCTCAGGCAGGGGGCCATATACCCCTGTAGGGATTTTTTGTGGGGGCTCCCCTGGAAGCAGAGAGACTGCTTGTATAGTACATAAATCTACTGCTGCACTGCCGCTTGTGGCGGGGGACAATTGTTGTATTGTGGTAACTGGCTTATTCCCTGAAACACTTGGGACAGTGGGGGTTGTTGTCCCTGAAAACTCTGAGGAACAAATGGCTGAATTGGGAATGCCCCAGTTTGTTGTGGGGCCTGAGGCTGGCCCCTTTGCTCGTTTCCCGACAATGGTTGCCCATTTTTATCAAATTTAGAACGACATTGACTAGCCCAATGTTTTCCTTTTTTACATCTTGGACATAAGTCAGGTGGCTCTCTACCTGTTGTAGTTGCTTGAATAGTTATATTCTGTTTGTTTAAGACTGGGCAATTCTTTTTTAAGTGACCAATTTGACCACAATTATAACATTTTCCTCCAAATGTTCTAACTTGTCCTCCTAAAACAACTCCTGTTATTGCTTGAGCCATAAGCATAGCTTTATGCATAGCTCCTCCGATTCCATCACAGGCTTTTACATATTCTGAGATTACATCTGATCCTGCAGGAACCTTTCCTTTTAATGGCTTAATGGCTGATTGACACTCAGGATTGGCGTTTTCATATGCCATTAACTCCACTATGACCTTACGGGCTTTTTCATCGGCAATTGACTTTTGAGCAACATCTTGGAGCCTTGCCACAAAATCAGGATAGGGCTCTTTTGAACCTTGTCTTACTGTATTAAATGAGGGGCAGGTACTTCCTGGGTCTTGGATTTTTTCCCAGGCTCTAAGGCAGATAGCTCTAACTTGCTCAATGGCCTCATTTTGCATTAATGCTTGTTGACTAATAGTACTCCAATTTTGACCTATTCCTAATAGTTGATCTGCATCTATGTTAACTGGAGGATTGGCAGCCCTATTTCTTCGGACCTGTTCTTGTACCCCATCAATCCACCAAGTCTTAAATTGTAAAAATTGAGAGGGTGAGAGAGACGATTTTGCCAGAATCTCCCAATCATAAGGAATGAGTCTATGTCCATGAGCAATGGAATCTAATAATGTCCTCATATAAGGGGAGTTGGGTCCATACTGTTTTACTCCCTCTTTCATATCTTTTAGCATTTTTATTGAAAAAGACTTGTATCTGGCCTCAACTGTGGGAGGCTCTCCCTCTTGGGCTCCTTCTCCAGGTGGCATCAGTTCTAACGTTACTGGGAATTGCCATGCCTCAGTATCTCCTTCCTTTCTTGATTTATCAATAATTTCATGTAATTCACTACCCTGTCTACTAGGTGGTGCCGTAGGATTAAGTCTCCTAGTGGGCGGCTGAGGGTATGGCGCCCTGCCCTGTGGTGCTGGGGGCATTCCTGGATATCCATACTGACTTTCTGGGGGTGGCTGATACTGAAGTTCAGCCGGCGGCCAGTATTGGTAGGCTACTGGCGGTTGGGTCTTATTTTCTTTAACCTGCTTTTGAGGTTGTAATGTTACGGGCACCTGACCTGCTGGAAGAGGACTTGGCCCTCGTGGTTTAGACTCTGATGGCCCCATTAATTCTGGACCTTTTCCTTCTAATTTTAACGTTTCAGGATATATCACCTCCTGTAATTGATTATAGTCAACATTTTGCGTTGACTGAGCCATTACTGGCTCTGCTACATATTCGCAATGTAAACTTTCGGTTTCTTTCTGGGATTTTTTCCTTGTCTTTTCATTACAATCTATTATACAGCTTCCAGGGGCATCAGAAACTGAAACACTATCTTCTTCTGTTTGAAATGGTTCTAAAGCTGCTTTAATAATGGCCCAATCATTCCATACTGTAAGTGGAATGATATTACCCTTCCTACCTGCTTGTTTTAGTTCCTTACCAATTCTTTTCCAGTCTTTTAGATCTAAAGTTCCTTGTTCTGGAAACCATGGGCAAAATTGTTCTATTATTTGAAATAGCTTGATTAGATTTTTTGTAGATACTTTAACTCCCCCTCTTTTTAAAAGAATTTTAATAAAGCTGAGATAAGAGGCATATTTACTTTTAATTTTACTTTTAGTTTGCCCCATTATCACCCTAGCTTCTTCTGAGCGCACAAGCTTACCATAAGGCTGACTGTAGACGTACTCGGGATCTCTCGTCGACTTGTCCTCAATGACCACGCTCGAGCGTACCTTCACCCTAGAGAAAAACCTCCACGTTGGGCACCAGATGTAGGGGTGGGTTGCCCCTACACACCTGTGGGTGTTTCTCGTAAGGTGGGACGAGAGATTTGGAAAAGAAAAAGACACAGAGACAAAGTATAGAGAAAGAAATAAGGGGAACCGGGGAACCAGCGTTCAGCATATGGAGGATCCCGCCAGCCTCTCAGTTCCCTTAGTATTTATTGATCATCTGTGGGTGTTTCTCAAAGAGGGGGATGTGTCAGGGTCACAAGACAATTGTGGGGAGAGGGTCAGCAGACAAACACGTGAACAAAGGTCTTGGCATCATAGACAATGTAAAGGATTAAGTGCTGTGCTTTTAGATATGCATACACATAAACATCTCAGTGCTTTACAAAGCAGTATTGCTGCCCGCAGGTCCCACCTCCAGCCCTAAGGCGGTTTTTCCCTATCTCAGTAGATGGAGCATACAATCGGGTTTTATACCGAGACATTCCATTGCCCAGGGACAGGGAGGAGACAGATGCCTTCCTCTTGTCTCAACTGCAAGAGGCATTCCTTCCTCTTATACTAATCCTCCTCAGCACAGACCCTTTACGGGTGTCGGGCTGGGGGACGGTCAGGTCTTTCCCTTCCCACGAGGCCATATTTCAGACTATCACATGGGGAGAAACCTTGGACAATACCTGGCTTTCCTAGGCAGAGGTCCCTGCGGCCTTCCGCAGTTTTTGTGTCCCTGGGTACTTGAGATTAGGGAGTGGTGATGACTCTTAAGGAGCATGCTGCCTTCAAGCATCTGTTTAACAAAGCACATCCTGCACCGCCCTTAATCCATTCAACTTTGAGTTGACACAGCACATGTTTCAGAGAGCACGGGGTTGGGGGTAAGGTCATAGATTAACAGAATCTCAAGGCAGAAGAATTTTTCTTAGTACATAACAAAATGGAGTCTCCTATGTCTACTTCTTTCTACACAGACACAGTAACAATCTGATCTCTCTTGCTTTTCCCCACAATAGAGTAAGTGAGTTTGTGTAAGTATGAATTTGTAACTATTTTCAGAAGAAAACAATATTGAACAAGGCAAATCATTTCAACAAGATGACTACTAGAAAACTAAAAACCTTAAAAATGCTGAAAGCAAGTATATTCTCTGCTTTGTATTGAATTTATTACTGTACAATCGATGGCTTTTGGTTCTGAATCTCCCCATGCAAATTTTGTTTATACTTGTCTGGTACTCATGATAGACCCCTAATTACTTTGTATCTTTTCGATATATATATTTTATAGTTTATGAAGTATTCATTATGTGAGCTTGTCTGTGTTTATAAGAATAATTTTATAAAATTTAGTAGTGCATACAAAAATTTTAAATGTAATTCCATAATTAGTGTATTAAGTTACATTTTATTTAGTTAGAACACTCCATTTTGTTTTTAATTGGAGAACTCTATAGCCCTTTAGTTATTTTTCTTTTCACTTTTTATAATTGACATAAGTAAATTTATTTATTGAGTTAATTTGTTCAGATAAGTACTAGGGAAGCTTTATAAGTCATGAGGATGTTTTTATATTTAAATGTAGCAGGCCGGGCGCAGTGGCTCACACCGGTAATCCCAGCACTTTGGGAGGCCGAGGCTGGTGGATCATGAGGTCAGGAGATCGAGACCATCCTGGCTAACACGGTGAAACCCCGTCTCTGCTAAAAAATACAAAAACTTTGCAGGGCATGGTGGCGGACGCCTGTAGTCCCAGCTACTGGGGAGGCTGAGGCAAGAGAATGGCGTGAACCCAGGAGGCGGAGCTTGCAGTGAGGTGAGGTCGCACCACTGCACTCCAGCCTGGACGACAGAGCGAGAGTCCGGCTCAAAAAAAAATAAAAAATAAAAATAAATGTAGCAAACATACATGATAGTTCTTGCCTTGTAACAGATGCTCCGAAGTAAGCCATAAGTATTCCTGCTAAAGTTAGTTTGTAACTTCAAGTTAGAGATGGAAAACATCAGTGGTGAAGAATTCAGATTGATTCTTCATGTGAAGAGGACATATTTTCCAGGCTGCAATGCTGAATCTTGCTGAATTTAAAGAGAAGTTCTGCATCTTTTATTTCTTAATTATCTTCAGATTTGTCTGTATTTATTATGTGTATCCCAGCTATGTATGCAGCACAGCCCTTCTCCTTTTTCTGTGTTATGGCTTCAGTTTTCTCAGTGTTGTCTTAATGCCGTTTCATTTCACATGGTACTTTGTAAATTTTGATGAGAAAGTTCGCCTTTTTTTTTTTTTTTGCGTCAGAGTCTCGCTCTGTCACCAAGGCTGGAGTGCAGTGGCACAATGTCGGCTCACTGCAACCTCCGCTTTCTAGGTTCAAGCAATTATCCTGCCTCAGCCTCCCAAGTAGCTGGGATTACAGGCGCCTGCCACCACACCTGGCTGATTTTTTTTTTTTTTTTTTTTTTTGTAGTTTTAGTAGAGACTGGGTTTCACCATGTTGGCCAGGCTGGTTTTACACATCAGGATCACCTGATGTGATCCACCTGCCTCGGCCTTCCAAAGTGCTGGAATTACAGGCGTGAGCCCCTGCACCCGGCTGAAAGTTGGTATTTTTTAATGCACTGAAAAATTGGTTTTAACTGAAGAGTTTGGTTATCAATATAACTTTCAGATCAGTTAAGATAAATAAAAACATACACTGTCCACGGGTGAGAGGATTAAATCAGCATGGTTTTTCTTTGTAAAACCAAAAAAAAAAAAAATTGGATTCTTACACAAACTGCGGCAAATATAAAATTTGCTTCAAAACATAGAAATTTTAAAGAGAGTTATGGTAAGTGAACATGGTGGCACCTGCGCCACCATGCTCAGCTAATTTTTTATTTTTTTTAGTAAAGACGAGGTTTCACCATGTTGGCCAGGCTGGTCTTGAACTCCTGACCTCAGGTGATCTGCCCACCTCAGCCTCCCCAATTGCTAGGATTATAGGTGGGAGCCACCGCACCTGGCAGAGTTTCTTACATATTTTTGATATTAACTCCTTGTCACATGTATAATTTGCAAATATTTTCTCTCATTTTTTAGTTGTCTCGTCCTGTTGATTGTATCATATTCTGTGCAGCAGCTTTTTAATTTGAAGTCATCTGACTCATCTATTTTTCCTTTTATTTCCTAAGATTTTGAGGTTAAATTTTAAAAAACTGTCCAGGCACGGTGGTTCACGTCTGTAATTCCAGCACTTTGAGAGGCTGAGGCGGGCGGATCACCTAATGTCAGGAGTTTGAGACCAGCCTGGCCAACATGGTGAAACCTCGTCTCTACTAAAAATACAAAAATTAGCCAGGCGCTGTGGCGGGTGCCTGTAATCCCAGCTACTCGGGAGGCTGAGGCAGAAGAATCACTTGAACTCGGGAGGCGGAGGTTGCAGTGAGCCGAGATCATGCCACTGCACCCCAGCCTGGTCGACAGTGAGACTCCGTCTCAAAACAAAACAAAAAACCAACTTACTAATGCTCTGAACAATTTTTTTTTTAGATGGCCCCTTTTTTTTTATTATACTTTAAGTTTTAGGGTACATGTGCACATTGTGCAGGTTAGTTACATATGTATACATGTGCCATGCTGGTGCGCTGCACCCACTAACTCGTCATCTAGCATTAGGTATATCTCCCAATGTTATACCTCCCCCCTCCCCCCACCCCACAACAGTCCCCAGAGTGTGATATTCCCCTTCCTGTGTCCATATGATCTCATTGTTCAATTCCCATCTATGAGTGAGAATATGCGGTGTTTGGTTTTTTGTTCTTGCGATAGTTTACTGAGACTGATGATTTCCAATTTCATCCATGTCCCTACAAAGGACATGAACTCATATTTTTTATGGCTGCATAGTATTCCATGGTGTATATGTGCCACATTTTCTTAATCCAGTCTATCATTGTTGGACATTTGGGTTGGTTCCAAGTCTTTGCTATCGTGAATAATGCTGCAATAAACATACGTGTGCATATGTCTTTATATCAGCATGATTTATAGTTCTTTGGGTACATACCCAGTATCCCTGAACTATTTTATGGGGTTTTCATTCTATTTTTCTGTAGTAGTTTCAGAGTTTCAGGTCTTACATTTATTTGTTATTATTACTATTTTGAGATGGAGTCTCACTCTTGTTGCCCAGGCTGGAGTGCAATGGCGCGCGATCTCAACTCACTGCAACCTTAGCCTCCTGGGTTCAAGTGATTCTTCTGCCTCAGCCTCTCTCCCAAGTAGGTGGTATTACAGGCACATGCAACCATTTTGTATTTTTAGTAGGAAATTTTGTATTTTTCTACACCAGCTAGTTTTGTATTTTTAGTAGAAACAGGGTTTCACTACCTTGGCCAGGCTGGTCGCAAACAACTGACCTCAGGTAATCTGCCCGCCTCCACCTCCCAAAATGCTGGGATTACAGGCGTGAGCCACCAGGTTCATCCTAAGCCTTACATTTAAGTGTCTAATTTACTTTTAGTTGATTTTTATATATGGTGTGAGATGAGGGTCTCATTTTATTTCTCTGCCTGTGGATATAAAGTTATCTCAACACCATTTATTGAAGATACTGTTCTTTTGGCTCACGCCTGTAATCCCAGCACTTTGGCAGGACAAGGTGGGTGGATCAGGAGGTCAGGAGATCAAGACCATCCTGGCCAACATGGTGAAACCTGTCTCTACTAAAATACAAAAAATTATCCAGGTGTGGGCGCCTGTAGTCCTAGCTACTAAGGAGGCTGAGGCAGGGGAATCACTTGAACCTGGGAGGTGGGGGTTGCAGTGGCAAGATTGTGCCACTGCACTCCAGCCTGGCGACAGAACAAGACTCCATCTTAAAAAAAGAAAAAAAAAAGAAAAGAAAAGAAATTGTCATCTTTATTCCAAATCAGTTAGCTTTAAATACATGGATATATTTCTGGTCTCTTTTTTACTGCTCCATTGGCCTATGTGTCTGTTTTTATTCAAGTACCGTACTGCTTTAGTTACTATAGCACTGTAGAATATTTGAAAGGTATGGTAATACCTTCATGTTTTTTTCTTGATTGCTTTGGCTATTCAGGGTCTTTCGTGGTACCATATACATTTTCTATGATGTATGCCACTGGTATTTTGATAGAGGTTGCATTATACCTGTAGATCATTTTGTGTAATACAGAAATTTATTAATGGAATTCAATAAATGAGTAATATTTCATTTGTGCATTACTTAATTTATTCAATGTTATTTACAGTGTAATGTAAGGTGTTTCAACTTTTTGGTTAAGTTTATTTCAAAGTATACTACAGTTATTGAGATGGAATTATTTTTTAATTTCATTTTGAGATAGTTGTTAGTGTACATAAATGCTACTGACTTTTGGATGTTGCTTTTGTATTCTGAAAGCTTAATAAATGTGTTTATTCTAATATTTTATAGTAAATTCTTAGGCTTTTCTGTATTTCAGGTTATGTACAGCAATAAAAGATAATTATACAGGGATAATGTAATTTCTTCCTAACCTAGATGCCTTTGATTTTATTCTCTAATTTCTTTGTCATGGACTTTCAGAACTATGTTTAGTAAGACTGATTAGAATGGACATCTTTGTCTTGTTTTAGCTTTTAGAGTAAAAGCTTATAATATTTCACTGTTTAGTATGTTGTTAGCTGTGCATTTTTTTGTTATATGTGGCATTTATTGACTGAGGTGCATTTGTTCTATACCTAATTTTTTCAGAGATTTATCATAAGGGAATGTCAACTTTTGTCAAACTTTTATTCTGCTTCTGTTCTTTTCTTTTTGTTCTCTGCATCTATTTAAATATTAGGGATGTGAAATCACAACTAATCCTACATAAATACAAAAAATCATGAGAGACTACTATGAAACCCCTCTATGCCGGCAAACTAGAAAATTTGGAAAAAATATGCTGGGCAAGGTGGCTCACACCTGTAATCCAAGCACTTTGGGAGGCTGAGATGGGCAGATCACCTGAGGTCAGGAGTTAGAGACCAGCCTGGCCAATATGGTGAAAACTCATCTCTACTAAAAGTACAAAAAATAAAAATAAAAAAAATTAACCAGAAATGTTGTCACACACCTGTAATCCCAGCTACTCAGGAGACTGAGGCAGGAGAATCACTTGAACTCAGGAGGCAGAAATTGCAGTGAGAGTGAGCTTAGATCGCACCACTGCACTCCAGCCTGGGTGACAGGGTGAGACTCTGTCTCAAAAAAATAAAAAAAATTGGAGAAAATAAATAAACTCCTCGATACAAACAGCTTTCCAAGACTGAACCAGAAATAAAGAGATCTCGAACAGAGCAAAAGTGTATAAAATATATAATGAAACTGAATTAGTAATAAACTACCAACCATAAAAGCCCTGGATCATATGAAATCACATCCAAATTTTACCCCACATACAAAGACATTCTGCTGAATGTACTCCAAAAAATCAAGGTAAGATTCCACCCTAACTCACTATATAAAATCAGTACTATCTAGTGAACAAAATCTAGTGAAGGCACAACTAAAAAAGAAAACTCCAGGCCGATATTTTTCATAAACATTAAAACAAAAATCCTGCATGAAATACTGGCAAGCTGAGTTCATAAGCAAATGAGAAAGTTATTTTGCCACAACCGTGTGATTTTTATTCCACATATGCAAGGATGTTTCATCATATGCAAGTTATAAGTGCGATTCACCATGTAAAAATAATTAAAAGCCAAAAATTATAAGATTAACACAATAGATGCAGAAAAAGCATTGAAGAAAATCCAATATTCATTCATGAAAATATTCTCAACACACAAGGCATTGATGAAACATACCTCAAAGTGATAAGAGCCATCTATGACAAATCCTCAGCCAACATTATACTGAAAAGGCAATAGCTGCATGCATTCTCCATTAGAATAAAAATAAGACAAGAATACCCACTCTAACACTCCTATTCAACATAACTCTAGAAGTCTTAGAGCAATCCAACAAACTAAAGAAATAAAAAGCATCTAAACAGAAAAAAAGGAAGTTAAATTATCTTACACTGATGATATAATGCTCTACCTAGAAAACTTTACAGATTTCCGGAAGTATATAATTTTAAAATATAAATTATGGCTGTTAAATATCTTCATTTCTATACCTCTTTTGGCTAATATTAAGGTTGATTGAAAATATAAGTTGTTAGAAAATTTCTTGAATTAAGGCCATTAGTTAATTATTAACATAATTTGAGACATAATAGCAATGAAAATCAGCATTGATTAATGAAACAAATATTATCTAGCCCCTGGTAATCATTTTCTCTCCCACCCAATGTGAAAGCACTATCTTTGTGTCATCTCTCCCAGTTCTAAGAAAGAGGCTTCTGATCAAATTGATCAGCATACAAATTTGTAAAGTTTAACTTTTAGTCTAAAAATTTATTATCAGCAAAGTTTATCTTTTGATATGTAATATTTTATTCTATTTAAATTCTTCAGAAAAGTGAAACTGACACAGCTTGCATTTAACTTTTTTTGTAAGTTAAAAATGCTTAAGAAACTTTTTTTATAGAAACTAAAACAAAATAATTTTACATTTTTGGAGAACATTTCTCAAGTACTTCAAGTTATCTTTCTCTGACAGTAGATATATATTTTTCTCTATTGCTGTAATAGAGCTTTGACTGTCCTTTGTGGCCGACTCTGTCATTTTTATTCTATTTTGTTGTGTGGTGTTTATGTTATGCATCTTACATTGTAAAAGTTGTAGTCCATGCAGGCAATGTAATAATTTTTTTTTTTTTTTTTGAGATGGAGTCCTGCTCTGTCACCCAAGATAGACTGCGGTGGCGCAATCTTGGCTCACGGCAACCTCTGCCTCCCAGGTTCAAGTGATTCTCCTGCCTCAGCCTCCTGAGTAGCTGGGATTACATGTGCATGCCATCATGCCTAATTTTTGTACTTTTAGGAGAGACGGGGTTTCACTATGTTGGACAGGCTGGTCTCGAACTCCTGATCTCATGATCTGCCTGCTTCTGCCTCCCAAAGTGCTGAGATTTCAGGTGTGAGCCCCCACGCCCCACCTGTTTTGTTTTTGAGATGAAGTCTTGATCTGTTTCCCAGGCTGGGGTGCAGTGATGCAATCTCAGCTCACGGCAGCTTCTGCCACTCGGGTTCAAGTGATTCTCCTGCCTCAGCCTCCTGAGTAGCTGGGATTACAGGTTCCCACCACCACACCCAGCTAATTTTTGTATTTTTAGTAGAGACAGGGTTTTGCCATGTTAGCCAGGCTGGTCTTGAACTCTTGACCTTAGGTGATGTGCCTGCCTTGACCTCACAAAGTGCTGGGATTACAAGCTTGAGCCGCCACACCCAGCAGCAATGTAATTTTCAAACAATTGACCAGCCTTTTTCCATGTCAAACTCTCTGCTTAATCAGTCCTTTATTTTCACTCTTCAAAGGCATTTTAACTGTGTTTTTTTGTTTTGTTTTGTTTTTGATGGACTTTCATTCTTATTGCCCAGGCTGAAGTGCAATGGCATGATCTCAGCTCACCACGACTGCTGCTTCCTGAGTGAGTTCAAGCAATTTTCCTGCCTCAGCCTCCTGAGTAGCTGGGACTGCAGGCAGGTGCCACCACATCTGGCTAGTTTTGTATTTTTAGTAGAGATGGGGTTTCTCCATGTTGGTCAGGCTGGTCTCGAACTCCCAACCTCAGATGATCTGCCCACCTTGGCCTCCCAAAGTGCGGGGATTACAGGCATGAGCCACCATGCCTGGCCATATACATGCTTTTATGACAAATCATTTTGTGATCATTTAAAGTTTTAATTTAGCAGTTGCCAAGACCAGCTCAGCTGGGGAGACCCTAACCCAGTGGCACTAGAGGAATTAAAGACACTCACAGAAATATAGAGGTGTGAAGTGGGAAATCAGGGGTCTCACAGCCTTCAGAGCTGAGAGCCCTGAACAGAGATTTACCCAGATATTTATTAACAGCAAACCAGTCATTAGCATTGTTTCTATAGACATTAAATTAACTAAAAGTATCCCTTATGGGAAATGAAGGGATGGGCTGAATTAAAGGAATATGTTGGGCTAGTTAACTGCAGCAGGAGCATGTCCTTAAGGCCTAAATCGCTCATGCTATTGTTTATGGCTTAAGAATGCCCTTAAGTGGTTTTCTGCCCTGAGCAGGCCAGGTGTTCCTTGCCCTCATTCCCATAAGCCCACAACCTTCCAGCGCGGGCGTTAGGGCCATTATGAACATGTTACAGTGCTGCAGAGATTTTGTTTATGGCCAGTCTTGGGGCCAGTTTATAGCCAGATTTTAGGGGGCTTGCTCCCAACATGCCCCCTTCTCTGATTTGCAAATCAATAAAAACAAGGGCAGCTTTCTCACAGTGAGCTACTTCTCACAGGAGTCGGGATCTACATCTGCAGACTATACAAAGGCAAACAACACAGATTAAAACTACAGCCATCATTGAAATCAGAGAGCTTCCAAGTGTTTTTATCCATTTTAATGGGTTACTAGCTGCTAATTTGTCTGCACCTCCTTTAAACACTCCAGTTCCTGGCATTAAGGTCAGGTGTGCCTGGGATGCTTTAAATATTTGTTCTTTTAATTTTAAATCCTTATGTTAAGCTCCTAGAGCAGGCCATATCATTTGAGGTTGAGGTGCCACTATACCGTCATGGTTCCAGATAATAGGAACTTTTGCCATACTTATTATTATATCTACCATCTGACCATTTTGTTCAGATCACCTGAACATAGTGTGACCGTGGCATGCAGACTGAGAGGTGCAATTCAAGCTAAACATCCCCTTAGGGGATCAATTAATAATGATTCCATAGGAAACATTCTGCAGCACCTCTGCCTGTTCTGCAAAGCAATCTTCCTAAATAAGTACGTTCATTTTTTCTACTGCGTCCAATCCTGTTTACAAATAGGTTTTTGAGGGCAGTATGCCTCAATTATAGGAGCAGATTTATTATGGTAAATACGGAGATCAGAAAGCATGTGTAACTGTGTCATAGAGTGATTGCATCCAGGCATTATTACCAGCCCTTATTGAAGGAATACTCACAGCAATGGTGATAACCACTATCATAGCTACCATTAAGTTATTCATTGTGACTGATTGTCCTGCTTTCCTCAGGTTTTCTTGCACCATCTGTGACAGCTTCTTGATCTGTCCCCAGGTGGGTGGCTGTGTTTGACGGGTGTTGCTTGTGACAGTTGGGGTCCTCCTCAGTGTCAGCCTGGACATGGCTGCAACTGGCGGGTCCTCAGGATCCTCCCAGAATCTCTTCCTCAGCATCTGGCTCATGATAAGGTTTCAGGTGTCTTGATGGTATCCAAATCAGCTGTTGATTTTGGCCTGGAGAAATACAAGTATAACCTCTACCCCAAGTTATTATTTTACCTATTTCCCAACTTTTTGTAGTCGGATCTCTCCACCAAATCAGATGTTCTGTTCCTGTCTTTGCAGCTGGTTTCTGTAGATGCTGGTCAGCTGCTGATAACATCTGGCCTTTGGGAAGGTTCAAAAAATTTAAAGTTAATAATGCTAGATTCAGTTGTATCTGCAGTGTTCCATATTCTCTATTTTTCCCTTTCTACTTTTGTGACTGCTGTTTTAGGGAAAGATTCATTCTTTCCACTATGGCTTGTCCTTGAGAATTGTATGGGATGACAGTAATGTGATTAATATTCCACATAGAGAAAAATGTAGCTAGAGTTTGGCTAGTATAGCCTGGGGCATTATCTGTTTTAATAGAAGCTGGAATGCCCATCACTGTGAAACACTGCAAAAGATGACATTTAACACAAGCAGAAAACTCTCCTGTTTGGCATGTAGCCCAGACAAAGTGAGAAAATGTGTCCACACATACATGTACATAAGCTAGTCTCCCAAACGAGGGAACATGTGTCACATCCATTTGCCAAATAGAGTTAGGTTCCAGTCCTCGAGGATTAACTCCTCCTGTAAAAGATGAGGAATATACCATTTGGCAAGTTGGGCACTGCTGGATAATAGCTTTAGCTTCTTTCCAGGTGATGCTGTATCTGCATTTGAGACCAGAGGCATTAAAATGGGTTAAATTGTGAAAGTGTCTAGCATTAGATATTGCAGTAGCAACTAGGCAATCAGCCATTTGATTCCCTTCAGTCAAAGGTCCTGGAAGAGGTGTATGAGCTCTAATGTGAGTGATGTAAAAAGGGTGCATTCTACTCCTAACTGCTGTTTGCAATTGGGTAAATAAAGTCATCAGTTGTTCATCTGTATGAAACAGTAGCTGACCATTTTCAATTAACTGTGTGGAAGGAACCATGTATGAAGAATCAGAAATCACATTAATAGGCATATCAAAAGTAGTCAATACCTCAATTATAGCTACAAGCTCTGCTTTTTGAGCTGAAGTATAGGATGTCTGGAAAACTTCACTTTTTGAGCCAGAATAAGAAGCTTTGCTATTACTAGACCCATCTGTAAAAACATTATCAGCACCTTCAATTGGTTTACATTTAGTTATTTTAGGAACAATCCAATTAGTTAATTTCAAAAACTGAAACAGCTTCATTTTAGGAAAATGATTATCAAGAATACCCACAAAGTCAGCTAAATGGGTTTGCCAAGTAAGACTATTTATAAAAGCTTGCTATATTTGTGCCTTTGTGAGAGGGACAATACTTTTTCCAGGATCATATCCATGTAATTTAACAATCTGAGTTCTCCCAATCCCTATCATAATAGCAATTTGATCTAAATAAGGAGTTAGAGTCCGTGAATTAGTATGTGGAAGGAAAAGTCACTCTACTAAGTCCTGTTCTTGGACAATAACACCAGTATGTGAATGCTGAGTTGAAAAAATTAGCAAATCCAGAGTCTTCTCTGGATCTATTCTATTTATCTGAGCTTTATGGACTTGCTTCTCAATCAGTTGTAACTCTCCCTCAGTCTCCTTTGTTAAATGCTGTGGGCTAGTGAGACTAGGATTTCCTCTAAGGATAGAAAACAGATTACTCATGGCATAGGTAGGAATGCTTAGAGCAGGTCATATCCAATTAATATCCCCTAATAATTTTTGTAAGTCATTTAACGTTTTTAGTTGATCCCTATGTATGGTTACTTTCTGTGCCACAATGGTAGTGTCATTTACTAAGGTCCCCAAGTAGGAGTAAGGAGTAGCAGCCTGAATTTTGTCAGGAGCTTTAATTAAACAAGTGGGAGAAATTGAATTTTGCAAGTGATTATAACATTGGAGTAATATTTCTCAAGTAGGGGCAGCACAAAATATATCATCCACATAGTGAATAATGTAACACTGTGGAAATTTTTTATGAGTATGTTCAATTGCTTGCCCAACATACATCTGGCAAATTGTTGCACTGTTTAACATGCCCTTTGGCAACACTTTCCCATGATAACGCTCAGCAGGCTGCAGGTTGTTTACTGCAGGAATTGCAAATGCAAACCCTTCACAGTCTTGTTCAGCTAAAGGGATAGTAAAGATACAGTCTTTTAAATCTATGACTACTAAAGGCCAATTTTTTGGAATTATAGCAGGAGAAGGCAATCCTGGCTGTAATGTTCCCGTAGGTTGCATAACTGAATTGATGGCTCTTAAGTCAGTTAACATTCTCCATTTACCTGATTTTTTCTTAATTACAAAAACTGGAGAATTCCAAGGGGAAAATATTGGAGCTATGTGCACATTTTCTAATTGTTTAGTAATTAAAATCTCTAAAGCCTCCAGTTTTTCTTTATTTAGCAGCCATCATTCTATCCAAATTGGCTTATCTGTTAACCATTTTAAAGGTATAGGCTCTGGAGGCTTAACAATGGCCACCATCAAATATTATTTCCTAATCTTTGTTGGGAACTTTGTTTTTCCACTTGAAGTGGTTCTTTCAAACCTTGCAAATTTTTTTCTAGTCCCATACCAGGGACATACCCCATTTCATGCACTGTATGTTGACTTTGAGGGCTATATAATTGTTCTGGAATTAGAAATTGTGCTCCCCATTGTTGTAATAAATCTCTTCCCCATAAATTTATAAGTACAGAAGTTATAATTGGTTGAATAGTCCCAGATTGTCCATCGGGCCCCTCACAATGCAAAATTTAACTACTTTGATATACTTCAGTGGCTTTACCAACTCCAACTATGTTAAATTGAGCAGGTTGAATTGGCCACGTGGACAGCCAGTGCTGTAGAGAAATGATTGAAATGTCTGCTCCTGTATCTGCCAAACCTTTAAATTTCTTTCCTTGAATAGTTATTTCACAGGTAGGATGTTTATCAGTAATTTGATTTACCCAAAAAGCTGCTTTGCCTTGTTTATTTCTGCTTCCAAATCCTCCTGTTTGTTTAATTTCACTTTTTCCCATTCCCACATATGGCACAATCAGGAGCTGTGCTATGCACTCTCTTGGCTCTGCTTTCCAGAAAACAGAGGTAGATATAACAATTTGAATTTCCCCATTGTAATCTGAATCCATGACTCCTGTATATATTTGTACTTTTAAACTTAAACTAGACCTTCCTAAAAGTAATCCTATTGTCCCTGCTGGCAAGGGTCCACAGACTCCTGTTGGGACCCTTTGCAGGGGTTCCCCAGGCAGAAGGCTCACAGCTTTTCTGCAGCATGAATCTACTGCAGCACTACTGGCTGTGGTGGGGGACAGCCATTGTACAGGGGTGAGGGAATGGCCTGAGCTGGAAATGCCCCGGTTTAGAACAGGGCCTGGGACGGGACCCTCATGGCATTTCCAGAAATTGGGTTCCCATCTTTATCAAACTTAGAATGACATTGATTAGCCCAATGTTTTCCTTTTGGACTTATTTCAGGATCAGCAGTTTTCTTTTTTCCCCTATCTGGTGGCCCGACTCGGTGATTTTTTCTAAATTCTTTTTTAGTATGACCATGCTTCCCACAGTTAAAACAAGCTCCAGGAAATGGAGTATTTCCTTTATCCACTCTCAGCCCTGCCATTGCCTGTGCCAACAAGGTAGCTTTATGCAGATTACCCCCTATACCATCACAGGCCTTGACATAATCAACTAAATGTGCTTTCCCTCAGATAGGTTCACAGAGCAGCCTGGCAATCGGGGTTAGCATTGTCAAATGCTAATAATTGCAACACTATAACCTGACCAGCTGAATCTGCAATCATCTTTATAAGAGACTCCTGTAACTGAGCTATAAAATCAATGTATGGTTCTTTTGGTCCCTGTTTTATAGCACTAAAGGAAGGGTATTGTTCCCCACCTGAAGTGGTCTTTTCCCAAGCTCTAATGCACACTCCTCTAAGCTGTTCTATGACATCATCCTGCATGACCAGTTGTGCATCTAAACTAGCCCAACCGCCAACCCCCAAAAGTTGGTCTGAGTTATATTAATTTGAAGTTGGGCCTGGGCACTGTGAGCAGCCTGAATGGAAGCTTCATCTGCCCACCAAGTTTTCAATTGTAAGAAGTGAGCAGGAGTTAGACAAGCTCGAGTAAGAGCATCCCAGTCAGTAAGAATCATCTGACTGGAAACAGTAACATTCTTTAATAGTCCCATTACAAAAGGAGAACTTGGTCCATACTGATTTATAACTTGTTTTAATTCTTTGAGTAATTTCAAAGGAAAAGGCTCAAATGTAGCTGTAATATTTCCCTGTTGATCTGGGGGTTGTGTTCTAATGGGGAACTGCCAAGCCTCTAAATCACCCTCTCGTCTAGCTTGCTGAATTCCTGCCTGAATAGAACTAAGAGCGGTCGCTCGAGGTGCTGCTCGAACAGTCACTGGGGCAACTAGTTTTCACCCAGTGTCCTCTGGAAAAGAAAGATCTGAAGGTTCTTTTTCTTCAAAATAATAATGAGGGGGTGCAGAAGGGTAGGGATGAACCTCTCCTTCCTTTGCCACTTTAGCTTTAGCTGGCAAATAAACCTGGTCTGTAACCTCTACTGTTACTTTGCTATACTCTCATTCCTCCTCCTCATCATTGTGAAAAAGTTCCAAGGTAAAATGAACCAGACCCCATACCTGTCCCATTGTTACCCTGACACTTCTGAGCTCCCCTTCTTACTCACCATGGGGATTGCTTTAAGAGTACTCGGGTGTCCTCCAGCTAGTTTTCCATTCCAACCATTGCTCCGGTGACCCTTTGACCTGGATTGAAGCCCCCACAAATGGACGCCACTTGCCGAGACCAGCTTGGTCAGGGAGACCCTAACCCAGTGCCACTAGAGGAATTAAAGACACACACAGAAATATAGAGGTGTGAAGTGGGAAATCAGGGGTCTCACAGCCTTCAGAGCTGAAAGCCCTGAACAGAGATTTACCCACGTATTTATTAACAGCAAGCCAGTCATTAGCATTGTTTCTATAGACATTAAATTAACTAAAAGTATTCCTTATGGCAAACTAAGGGCTGGGCTGAATTAAAGGAATATGTTGGGCGAGTTAACTGGAGCAGGAGCATGTCCTTAAGGCCTAAATCGCTCATGCTATTGTTTATGGCTTAAGAATGCCTTTAAGTGGTTTTCTGCCCTGAGCAGGCCAGGTGTTCCTTGCCCTCATTCCCGTAAGCCCACAACCTTCCAGGGTGTGTGTTAGGGCCATTATGAACATGTTACAGTGCTGCAGAGCTTTTATTTATGGCCAGCCTTGGGGGGCTTGCTCCCAACAGCAGTGTTGTCTGGGTTTTAAATGTGAATGGTGACATATCAGAGAAGAAATAATAAAGAATACAAAACAAAGCATGATAGTGTTGATGGCTGTGTGAGACCTCGATTCTTCTCACTTTCAAAAAATTTAAACAAGAGACACAAAACAATGAAGATGCAGCATAGAGTGATTTATTGCAAAGTAGAAATACTATTTTAAAAGTTAGGTGAAGAATAGCCAGCATTTGCTGAGAAAGAAGGAATTCAGGGCAGGCTGCCAAAAGAATGAGACAGCAAAGACTGGAACTAGGGAGACTCCATTTATGGGAGTCTTACATAATTAATTATAAGGAGGTGGGAAGAGGTGTTAGTAGTAAGCATGTTCTGGGTGGTCCTTTTGGTGCACAGACACAGTGGCTGTACATGCTTATATGTCACATATCTCCTTAACATCTTAAATCTTCACACACGTGTGTGTTTTTTACTATTATAATGAGTAAAAGGTCAGTTAGAGGATAAGTAAAATCAAAATGTGCATGCTCTCTACAGGGCAATTTCCCTACCGAAGAGAGCTTTGCTTGAATGGCTGAAATACAGTGTAAATGCTGGGGTTTATTGTGTTGACAATATGCAGTCACCGTGCAATCACCATGGCTGCCACATCCCGAGGACATCGTCACTTTCTTGACTACCTAGCTTGCCTCAATAGTACTTGGCTTGATTTATTCCAAATTATCAACTCTGAGACTCAGATTTAGCTGTTATGTCAACATTGTCAACAGTGGGAAAATTAAAATTTTTAAATCAAACATATATGAGCTTGTTGGGTCACTAGCTGTGTATCCAAGAGAAATTATTTTACATCCCAGGAGCTTCAATCTTAATTATTAATATAAAACACTATTTCCCCTAAGGCTACTTTAATTCATGAATGGTAGCTATAACACTTGAAAGTCTCATCTAAATATTAAATATTTAAGAGTAAGAATAAAATCATTTTTATTTCAAAGATATGATAAGTGAGTGGGTGTATTTTGTCATATTTAATGTATTTTTCTTTTCTAAAAAATGCCATAATAATTGTATTTTTTCCAGAATAACAGACTATGGATATTTAAGTTATGACTTTGCCAATTTTTACATATGGTAAAACTGCTACTGTTAAATTTAGGTTAAATTTTAAACCCACTGTTTTTTAGCTTGTGTGGTTTTTGGCTCATTTGGGGAACAAAATATATTAGACGTTGACTGTTTGGGGTAACTTGGGTTCATTTCTGCTGTCTGTTATTACATCTGGGGATTTAGAAACAACTAGGATTAAAATAAGTTTGGTTTGGAATCAAGCAACAGAAAATCCCAAAAGGACTAAGGAAAATAGCTAATGGATACTGCCTTTCAGTGAGATTTATACACAAACAGAGTTTAATGAGATTCATGAAATTATTGCAAGTTTTTTAAATTTAGAAACCAATTACCTACAACATATTAGGCACTTGTCTTAATTTGTCTATGGCAACCCTATCTTGGGGAAGCTGATATTACAGAAAAGGATATTGCTACTGTAATAATATTTGGAACAAATGTTTATGTGCTTATGAACAGTCCCCTCTAATAATCTTTAGATACATGTCATTCTGGCTCAATCCTTTTGGCATGACTGTAATTCCAGAGACTCCTTCCCACCGAAGCGAAGCCATGGAGTTTTCAGCTGCTTATGCTTATTTTCAGTTAGTAAGCTTCATAGCTGACATCATTATATTGGGGTCCCCAGGAATCCCTGAGCCTTAGAGCTGACCATCCTACCTCATCCTTCTTGCTTCTCATGGTCTGTTGTTGAGTCCCTCTCACTCCATATTTGAGCCTTCATGAGACTTCAGTTTGGAGAAACCAGAGAAATGGGTTGCCATATGTATTGAGTTGACAATCAGAATCCGTTTGAGGATAAAGACTTTACATTTATTATTCATGGTACAAAGCAGTATTTTTAAGATGTGAACATGTTTTAGTCAAATTAAATATAAATAATTTTTTTTTGTTATGACATAGTCTCACTCTGCCACCCAGGCTGGAGGGCAGTGGCGCGATCTCAGCTCACTGCACCCTCTGACTCCTGAGTTCAAGGGATTCTCCTGCCTCAGCCTCCTGAGTAGCTGGGATTACAGGCATGAGCCACCATGCCCAGCTAATTTTTGTATTTTTAGTAGAGACGGTGTTTCACCATTTGTTCAGGTTGGTCTCGAACTCCTGACCTCGTGATCCACCCACCTCAGCCTCCCAAAGTGCTGGGATTACAGGTGTGAGCCCCGGCACCTGGCCAAATATAAATAATTTTATCAGTATGCCAATGTAATTAAAATAATTTTATCAAGTTCACCAAATGTTCTGCTTTAGACTCTCCCAACACAAAGATCAATATGTATGCACTGGTGAATATTAGTTTTTTTGGTGTATGGTTTTGTTTGTTTACATTTTTAAAGATTTTTTCTACTTTATGCTGATGTTAAACTACACAAAGCTTACCAAAAGCACTCTTTTACCACATTTTTCTACTAAAAGTTTAAATACTTAAATTTTGAAAGTGACGTTCTGGATTACCCTTTTCCTTGTGATGGAGTCTGCGTTTATTAGTCCTACATTGCAGTTTCTCTTTATGTGGTGCAAGGTTACAAAAATGCCATCCAGTTGATTTTGATTTATTAGGTAACAGTAGAATCTGTTTTCTCAGGCAGTAGCATGAGAATTCTTGATATGTTACCTTTAGACGTACTGAAAGCAACTGGATACATTTGCTGAAATTTGTCTTTATTCTTAAGGGCACTAGAGGCTAAGTCATAGCAACACACAATATAGTTCAGTCCAACTTTTTTTGTCTAAAATTTTGTGGAGCTGCATCCACCTGTATGATGTAACTCAGTAACAGCTTCTTTATACTAAGCCAGAACTCATTTTACCTGCTGGTTTTGTTTTAAATGTATGAGCTGTATTATATCACATTTAAATCAGTAAATGAAATGAATTCAGAGGTTATGGAAAGAAAAGTACAGGCACACTAAAAATGAATTTGAATCTGGCAGCTGACACTGATTAACAGGTTGAGCAGATTGGACTAGACCTGCATTCCTGTAAACAATATTGAAAGGGAGAATTGAAAACATCTTCAGCAACACGATAGGCCTATGAGATTTGAAAAGTAAATCGATTTGTTTACCCATCTTCAGTCAATACTAGGTTAAACTGGAAAATTTTGAACACATTATTCCAAAAATGAAATTAGTAAATTATTCTCAGACTTAATATGATTAAAACAAGACTTCTGGGTATTTGAAAGCACCAAATTATTGATGAAAGATATCCATTTTGAACAGATTCTTGATCTTATATATATATTACTACTAAGTAAAACCTAATACTGATAGCTTTAATATATGAAATATTTGTGAATGTCTATCACTGTAGTGAAAAATCAAGACATTATTTAAATCTAAATTTTGATTAAAATATTTGATATTTTAATTGAGTGCCAGTATTCATATAGTATGGCAAAGCACCCAGTTCTTTAGTATTCTGCAATTTTATAAAATAAGCCAGAATTTGTGGAGACATTTGTTAAAAAAACAAAAACGAAAACAATCTTTTCTAAAAAAAATCTAGACATCAGAAAATAGAGATACTAATGTTACACTATATAAACAGTTTGCTGAACCCTACAGTAATCTGTGAAGTTTTTTTGTGTGCGTACAACAATCTTAGATTACCTAAAACAAAACGAAGTTTCTTTCTTCTGCTTAACATACAAAAGTCCAAAATATATCCGGACAGACAGGAACTGTGGCTGCCACTTTAAAAAAAACAAACATTTCACCACGATACACTGTTTTGTGTATGAACAGATGGAAAACCAACCTTTGAAGTTTTCAAATCATAAGCAGAAGCATTGTGCCTCTAAGCCTTAAATATATAAAACAAATACACACAGTTTATTCTTCTTAATTTAAAATATACTGTTCTTTGAACATCAAATGACATTAGACTATCAAAAACCTCATAAGTCATACAAGTGTCAACTGTATTTTCAAAATTATAAGAACTTAGAACAAGTAAACTAAACAGCTACAGCTACAGTTTAGTTAAAAATAATAATAATAAACTACTCTGTATTTGCCCTTGTGATGAGAATCACCTTTATTCATTTTGGAACAAACAGGAAATGCTGCAGTGGTAACTTGCTGAGTGGCGACTGCGATGAGATTTACTGTCCTAGGGATGATGGGATCCAGTGGACCAGAATCGTCAGCACCTTACCATGGTCACTGCTGTCCTTTCACTCTGTCATTCATTTATCAGACTTCTTCATCAATTCCGTCTCTATCGTTGTGTGAACGGTTTTGTACTACTTTAGCATCTGCCTTTGATTGCTGCTAATTTTCTTTGTTCATCTTTCTGGTCCATCTTGGTGGCTGCTTTGCTGTTCCTCTTTGAGGAGTTCGCGCAGCTTCACCCTCAGGTGTTCCAACAGTCCGTCCATCTGGCTCAAGCTGTCGGGCATTATTCCTGGTTCTGTTCCTGGCGTCTGAGATTTGTCAGCAGGGCCTGGTTTTCAGGGACCACGGCTACCGCCTCCTTCTGCCCGCGGGGCGGCTCCTGCACCTCTGGCGGGCACCGGTTCCAGCCACGGTTTAGCCGAGAACAGGGGGAACCGCAGCAGCAGATGGAGCGCCCACGTCCGGGGTCGCCTCGGCTCTAACCCTTGGTCATGGCTCAGCTTGGTGCGCAGAAACCCGACGTCAATCAGAGCATTTTGCGCAGCTGGGCGAGCTTTCCTCGGCATGCGGGGCAGTTCCCCCATCATCTTTATGCTGCCACCTCCGCTTTCATCAGAGAGTTACACATGATGGTGCAGGGGCCCGGAGACACCGTGGAAGAGTCCAGGGGAGTGAGGAGGGGCTGGGCCGGGCAGCCTCAGGCCCAGCGCATGATGGCGCCCCCTCACGCCTGAGCAGAAATCAGCCACTGCCACCTCGGAGAGGACAGAGGGGCCCAGGCTTCCCCAGCCAGCCTCGCTCTGCACCAGCAGAGGAAAAAATTATTTTCTAAAAATAAATAAATAAATAAATAAACAAATAGATAAATAAGTATGGAGAAGAACTTGCAGTTCTGACCCAATCAAATTTTCATTCTTTTTCTTTCATTTTTTTTTTGGCCGTTTTCTCTTAAATTGTGCTCTCCTGAAGTCAGATTTCATGTTCCATCCTCACGTGGCAATTTAAATGTAATTATAATGGTCCCAAATTTAGAAACTAAAAATGTTAATGTATTTTACCCATGAGTGCTAGGTTAACATTAAATTTTCAATAGTGCTTTCTCAATTCTACACTTCATTATTTTCTATTTGATCCTGTTAACTAAACTATAGAAAATAAAAATAATAAAGGTTTGATTTGCATAGTTTCACAGTTTACAAAGAATATGTATTCATTCCTTTAACCAATAAATGTGTGTTGAGCACACATGATATGCCATCATTTTGGTAGCCTTAGAAAATAAAATAGAGAAAGGAAAGTTTTGATCTCTACTCTCATGAAACTTTCAGTCTAACTTCATAAAATCCTCATGCATTCCTGAGAAGTGGATACCTCTGAAGTTTCCTATAAACCTCCTACCCCAATCTGACTTCAGGAGAGCACAATCTAAGAGGAAAAAGCAAAACAAAAAGAAAAAAAGATGAAAATGTGATTGAGTAAGATATGCAAGTTCTATTCCATAATTTTGTTAGGAAATAGTTTTCATCTCTACTAGAGCAGAGGGAGGCTGGCTGGGAAGCCTGGGCTTCTCTGTCCTCCCTGCAGTGGTAGTGGTTGATCTGATCTCTGCTCAGGTGTGAGGGGCACCACCATGCACTGGGCCTGAGGCTGCCTGGCCCAGATCATCCTCACTCCCCCGGACTCTTCCGTGGTCACTCCGTGCCCCTGTGTCATCCTGTGCATCCTTCTGATGGTAGAGGAGGTGGTAGCAGGAAGCTGGTGGAAGAGCCTGGCTCCATAAACTGAGGAGGGTTCACCCAGCTATGGGAAATGCTCTGGATGACCTTGGATTTCTATGCAGTTAGCTGGACCTCATCCCAGGGTTACAGCCAGGGCATCCCTGAGCTGGGTGACACCAGATGTGGATGCTCTGGCTGCTGCTATTGTTTCTGTAGAATCAGCACCCACCAGAAGTGCAAGAGCCACCCTGCAGGTGGAACGAGGTGGTAGCCATGGTTCCTGAAAACCACACCCTGCTGACAAATCTCAGATGCCACAAACAGAAGAACGGAGAGAAACTGCCCAAGAGCTTGAGCCAAATGAACGGACTGCTGGAGCAGCTCAGGGTGAGGCCACCTGCACTTCTCAATCTGGTACAGCAAAGCAACCATCAGAGATGGACAAGAATAATAAAAAGTCAAAGAAAATTAGCAGAAGTTAAAGGCAGATGCTAAAGCACTGCAAAATCATTCATGCCACAATAGAAATGAAGTTCATGAGGAGTTAATACAGGAGTTCTTAAGAAATTATTTTAGGCAGTTAAAGAGGGTAAAAGAGTTCTTACTGGAATTTTCCTTTTATAAAAAGCAGCCCCCAAACCATTTTATTCCTAACAGAAAGCAGCCTAAAAACTCAATCCGCAAGCTTATAAGCAAGCTAGAGGGTTGCATATGTAAATGGAAATGCCTGTACTAAAAGCCAGGTATATTTCAACATGGCAACTTTCCCCTCTTTTCTTTTTCACCATGAGTGCAGATGTCATGGTGACAGCCAGGTAGTAGCCACGTTTGCATAATAAAAGGCTACGGTCGGGGAGCCAGTCTTTTCACTGGCTATGTAAATGGCATGCCTGTTCAACCAATACCCTGGGCCCTATGTAAATCAATCACTGCCTCCTCAAGCCTCTCTACAAAATCAATCGTGTTCTGCCCCAAACCCAGAAACTCTACTGGGCAACCTGCTTTCTCAGGATGATGTAGCTTTCTCTCTCTCTTCTTTTTGTCTATTAAACTTTCTGCTCCTCAACCCATTCCTCTTGTGTGTTTGTGTCATAAATTTTCCTGGCATGAGAAAACAAACCCCAGGTATTTACCCCAGACAATGCAGCCATTTCATTTGGAGGCTTGTCCAGGATCAGAACAAAATATAGAATCATTGGAATGGTGAGTATGGAGTGATCATCAAATCTGTCCTTTAATTTCAAGGCTCTCAGTCTCCATGTTAAAATGCTTTGGACCAGTTTCCTTTCACAGAGAATCTAACCATTGTATGAGGCTGGGAGAAGTCCTGGAACAACTGAGGTTTTCTGGCCAGGGCACATCCTGGTGTTATTCAAGGCTTCTGGACTGAATCCAGCCTTTGACAGCTCATCTACGTGTTGGTAAAGGATCTCCAACTATCTTGTCACAAAATTTTTCTTCTTTCCTGTCTGTGGTTACTGTGTCTTCTATCCTATCTGTGTATGCAATGTGCAGGAAGTCTTGGTAAATCCTGCAGTACTGGGGAGCACGTGGTATTTCCAAGCCAACAGTGCAACGAAGTGGCAATAGAAATCCTCTTCATGAGGCACATTGTCAGTCCTTTGCCATGCACTGTAGTTTCCCAACTCTCCTCCCTTTTTGCACTGCTAAAAATCAGGCTCTATGCCTCTTCTGTGAATGGGAAAGGTCTGCCTTCAACAATTAAAAGAAAAATGTCAGCCAGGCACGGTGGTTCATGCCTGTAATCCCAGTACTTTGGGATGCTGTGCCCGGTGGGTCATGAGGTCAGGATTTCAAGACCAGCCTGGCCCAGATGTTGAAACCCCATCTCTACTAAAAATACAAAAATTAGCCAGTCGCAGTGGTGGGTGCCTGTATTCCCAGGCACTTGGAAGACTGAGGCAGGAGAATCATTTGAACCCTAGAGACGGAGGTTGCAGTGAGCTGAGATCATGCCACTGCACTCTAGCCTGGGTGACAGAGCAAGAATCCATGTCAAGCCATCCCCATCAAGCTACCAATGACTTTCTTCACAGAATTGGAAAAAACTACTTTAAAGTTCATATGGAACCAAAATGGAGCCCGCATCACCAAGTCAATCCTAAGCCAAAAGAACAAAGCTGGAGGCATCACGCTACCTGACCTCAAACTATACTACAAGGCTACAGTAACCAAAACAGCATGGTACTGGTACCAAAACAGAGATATAGATCAATGGAACAGAACAGAGACCTCAGAAATAATGCTGCATATCTACAACTATCTGATCTTTGACAAACCTGAGAAAAACAAGCAATGGGGAAAGGATTCCCTATTTAATAAATGGTGCTGGGAAAACTGGCTAGCCATATGTAGAAAGCTGAAACTGGATCCCTTCCTTACACCTTATACAAAAATTAATTCAAGATGGATTAAAGACTTAAATGTTAGACCTAAAACCATAAAAACCCTAGAAGAAAACCTAGGCATTACCATTCAGGACATAGGCATGGGCAAGGACTTCATGTCTAAAACACCAAAAGCAATGGCAACAAAAGCCAAAATTGACAAATGGGATCTAATTAAACTCAAGAGCTTCTGCACAGCAAAAGAAACTACCATCAGAGTGAACAGGCAATCTACAAAATGGGAGAAAATTTTCGCAACCTACTCATCTGAAAAAGGGCTAATATCCAGAATCTATAATGAACTCAAACAAATTTACAAGAAAAAACAAACAACCCCATCAAAAAGTGGGCGAAGGATATGAACAGATGCTTCTCAAAAGAAGACATTTATGCAGCCAAAAGACACATGAAGAAATGCTCATCATCACTGGCCATCAGAGAAATGCAAATCAAAACCACAATGAGATACCATCTCACACCAGTTAGAATGGCAATCATTAAAAAGTCAGGAAACAACAGGTGCTGGAGAGGATGTGGAGAAATAGGAACACTTTTACACTGTTGGTGGGACTGTAAACTAGTTCAACCCTTGTGGAAGTCAGTGCAGCAATTCCTCAGGGATCTAGAACTAGAAATGCCATTTGACCCAGCCATCCCATTACTGGGTATATACCCAAAGGACTATAAATCATGCTGCTATAAGGACACATGCACACGTATGTTTATTGCGGCATTATTCACGATAGCAAAGACTTGGAACCAACCCAAATGTCCAACAATGATAGCCTGGATTAAGAAAATGTGGCACATATGCACCATGGAATACTATGCAGCCATAAAAAATGATGAGTTCATGTCCTTTGTAGGGACATGGATGAAATTGGAAATCATCATTCTCAGTAAACCATCGCAAGGACAAAAAACCAAACACCGCATGTTCTCACTCATAGGTGGGAATTGAACAATGAGAACACATGGACACAGGAAGGGGAACATCACATTCTGGGGACTGCTGTGGGGTGGGGGGAGGGGGGAGGGATAGCATTAGGAGATATACCTAATGCTAAATGATGAGTTAATGGGTGCAGTACACCAGGATGGCACATGTATACATATGTAACTAGCACATTGTGCACATGTACCCTAAAACTTAAAGTATAATAATAATAAAATAAAAAATAAAAAAAAGAATCCATGTCAAAAAAAAAAAAGAAAAAGAAAAAGAAAAATATCCTCCATAACCAAATTTTGTTCCAATGCTATCCCATTAGCAAATAAATAAATCAATAAATAAAAGCCGTTATTCTGTCTCCAATTAGAAGAGTACTTAATTAGTAAGGCAATTTTAAGTCCAGAAGTTAATTGGAACTGTTTTCTAAGGGAAAATGTTTTAGCATGGGCCGTAATAGCAGGATATAGAGCTCAAACCAGCATACTTCCTCCATTAAGGAGGAAGGTGTAACCATTGCCTACATGCTACCATTACACAGTTTCTCCAGAGATCCTTTCTTTGGGGTGCCAGGCAGATCACACAAGTTTAGAAAGTCAAAGGGTAGTCATAGTGGATAACTAAGGCTGTGTGGGTAATTGTTGTTAAATCCCATCACTTCATTCATCCAGTTCCATGGCTTGGAGGGCCATACCTATAACCATGGGTGGCACATTTAACATGGTGCTGGGACCCAGGAACAAAGGAGAAAAAACAGTCAGGGAGATGCTTCAACTGTTTTTTCCTCCACCCTGGGTCACATCAAAAGGAGGGAGACTAAAAGAATGCTTTTATTCTCACTTATTTTACTTTTTTTTTTCCTTGAGATACAGTCTCACTCTGTTGGCCAGGCTGGAGTGCAGTGGCTTGATCTTGACTCACTGCAGCCTCTGCCTCCTGGGTTCAAGCGATTCTCCTGCTTCAGCCTCTCAAGTAACTGGGATTACAGGCACGTGCCACCATGCCCAGCTAATTTTTGTATTTTTAGTAGAGATGGGGTTTCACCATGTTGGCCAGGCTGGTCTCAATCTCCTGACCTCAAGTGATCTGCCTGCCTTGGCCTCCCAAATTGCTGGGATTACAGGCATGAGCCACCATGCCCAGCCTATTCTCAATTCTTTTTCTAGATGGGTAACAGACCAACTTCAGCAACTCTCTGGAGTGTACTCTGAAACACCAGAACTCCTTTAACCTCAGGACTTTGAAGAGAAAAGTGACTTTATTTTATTTATTTATTTTTTATTTTTTGCATGGGGCATGGTATTTATACTAAACTTTTGCAAGTGTCATAAGATTGACCCAGGTTTTTTTTGTTTGTTTTGACATTGAGTTTCACTTTTGTTGCCCAGGCTGGAGTGCAATGGTGTGATCTCGCCTGACTGCAACCTCTGCCTCCCAGGTTCAAGTGATTCTCGTCCTTGGCTTCCTGAGTAGCTGGGATTACAGGAACCCACATCCACACCCAGCTAATTTTTGTATTTTTAGTAGAGATGGGGTTTCACCATGTTGACCAGGCTGGTCTTGAACTCCTGACCTCAGGAGATCTACCCACCTTGGCCTTCCAAAGTGCTGGGATTACAGGCATGAGGCACCGTGCCTGGCTCAACCCATGTTTTTTTAATAGTCATATCAGGCAGGCTCATAGAGAATAACTCCCCCAAATTAGAAAGCAACTTCTGGTGGAACCATCTAAGAGTGTCCCTTATTTGGGGCCACCTCAACTTTCCTTCTCATAACAAGACCTTAGGCAAGTAAAGGAAGACAGGCTGATTTTCTGACAACCCCAATAGGTATATAGAAGCATTTCTGAATTTAACTCAGGTGTTTCACCTCACATGAAAGGATGTTATGCTGCTTCTAAAACAAACCCCAACCACAGCTGAAAAGCAGGCAGTTCTGCAGGCAGCAGAGGATTTTGGAGATGAGCAACAAATCTCCTATAATACGCCAAAAAGGAAAAAAGGGAGATAGGGAAAGTGAAGAAATAGCAGAAACACCATTTCCAATAGGAAGTGAAGCAGTTCCTCTTGACAACCCTTGGAACCCCAATAGCTCTGCAGATGAATGGAAAAGGAAATACTTTTTTTTTTTTTAAGATAGAGTCTTGCTCTGTTGCCCACTTGCTGGAGTGCAGTGGCCCAATCTTGGTTCACTGCAACCTCCACCTCCTGGGTTCAAGCCAATTCTCCTGCCTCAGCCTCCCAGGTAGCTGGGATTACAGGTGTGTGGGAGGACACCCAGCTGATTTTTGTCCTTTCAGTAGAGATGGAGTTTCATCATGTTGGCCAGGCTGGTCTCGAACTCCTGACCTCAGGTGATCCACCCACCTCGGCCTCCCAAAGTGCTGGGGTTACAGGTATGAACCACTGCGCCTGGCAGAAACACTTTTTAATATGCATATAAGAGGGCCTACAAATAACTCTCAAGGCCAAACCTCTCAATTATTCTAAACTGTCTATGATTGACCAAAAGCCAGATGAGAATCCTGCAGCCTTTATGGAAAGGCTGAGAGAAGCACTAACAAAGCACACCTCCTTATTCCCTGATTCAGTCGTCAGACAGCTTATTCTAAAGAACAAGTTTATTACACAGACAGCTATTGATACAGAAGGAAACAACAGAAACAAGCTATAGGACCAGATAGCACCTTAGAGAACCTCCTGAAGGTGACCACTTTGTTCTTTTATAATAGGGACCAGGAGGAGGCTCAAGAGAAAGAGAGAAAAGTCAGGAGGATAAAGCTCTAGTAGCTGCTTTGGAAGCTTGCAAAGTCCAGGATCCCTGAGGTGCATCTGCTAGTTGCCATTGGTGTGGTAAGTCAGGGCATTTTAAGAAGGAATGCCCAAACAGCAAGAAGAAGCCATCTCGACCCTGTCCAGCATGTGATGAAGGCCACTGGAAATCAAACTGCCTCCAGAGACAGAGGTCACTGGGTTTACAACTAAATTACCTCTCGAATCCAGGCCTCCCCTCTTCCCATAGCATGACTGTAAAGGGGCATCTCAGGAAAAACTGTAATATTTTTCTCAATCTCTTAGTTGCAGTTAGGAGCACTTGTTATTTACGTATGCCTCCAAGCCATTGTCACGGTAGCTGTACTAGTCAGAAAAGCCTCTAACCCTAGGAAATAACTTAACTGTTTACAACCCACGTAATGTGGCAGAATTACTGTCTTCTAGGTGGAGCCCTTAGCTAACAACCAACCAGTATAGCAATAAATACATAGGCCAGGATAAGCAGTAGTCACTGTAAATAATGTCTCTCTCCAGACACAAGTGCTCAATTAGCTGGACTAACAGCTCTTACAAGAGCACTTGAATTAAGCAAGGGAAAGGTAGCTAACATTTCCACTGACTCCAAGCATGTTTTCTTAGTTCTCCATGCTCATGCTGCCATTTAAAAGGAAAGACATTTTCTTACCACTAATGGATCTTCTATAAAATATCACCAGGAAATTAACAGGTTATTATCCTCAGTTTTCCTTCCATGAGAAATGGCAGTGATGCATTATAAGGGACATCAAAATGAACAAATAAATAGCCAAAGGAAATAGGTTAGCTAAGCAGGCAACTAAGTCAGTGGCAAGGAAGCCCCAAGGCATCAATATACTTCAAGTCCTTTTAATCTAGGAAGGCCCTATAAGAGAAATTAAACCTCAGTATTTTTCGCAGAAATAAAATAGGCCACTTTTTTTTTTCTTTGAGATGGAGTCTCACTCTTTTCATCCGGGCAGGAGTGCAGTGGCATGATCTCGGCTCACTGCAACGTCCACCTCCCGGGTTCAAGAGATTCTCGTTACTCAGCCTCCCAAGTAGCTGGAATTACAGGTGCCCGCGACCATGCCTGGCTGATATTTGTATTTTTATTAGAGATAGGGTTTCACCATGTTGGCCAGGCTGGTCTCAAACTCCTTACCTCAGGTGATCCACCCTCCTCGGCCTCCAAAAGTGCTGGGATTACAGGCATGAACCTCTGTGCCCAGCCAAAATAAGCCATTTCTTGAGGGCATACTTTCCATCCCTCAGGATGGCTACAGTCAGGGGATGGCAAACTCCATTTGCCAGCCTCCAGCCAATGGAAAGTCATTAAAATCCTGCACCAAGATTTTCACTTAGGAACTTCCAACAGTAATTAACACAACTAGAAAAAGTCCAACCTCAGGAAATAGAACCATCTCTATTTAACCCAGATTTGGTATTAGTGAAAACTCTCCCTTCTCTGCTTCCCTAAGCCAAGCTAGGAAGGGCCCTGCACTGTTCTTCTCCCTCAGCAGTAAAAGTTACAGGTATCAAGTTCTGAATACATGACACTCAAATCAAAGCCTGAAGAGCTGAGGGAGCAACCCCTGATGGCCCAGAGGAACGTCCTCAATATCAATGTGAAAAAATAGAAGAACTTAAGCTGAAAACCATAAAAGATAAGTGAGGTCTACTCATCTTACTCAGTCTCATTTACTCCTCACTAAATAATTTTTTAAATTTTTGCCCTTTTCTCTCAAAATTTACTTTAATATCTTAAAATATTAGAACATTTAAAAATGCATACATGCAGGGAGATTTTAATTATACATGGGTTTGCATTTGTAATTTCATAGAACCCCAAAGGAAAATGTTATTTCTTGGCAAGTAAAATTTTAAACAAAAATTATTGCTGGGCATGGTGGCTCAGATTTGTAATCCCAGCACTTTGGGAGGCTGAGTTGGGTAGATCACCTGAGGTTGGGAGTTCGAGACCAGCCTAACCAACATGAAGAAACCCTGTCTCTACTAAAAATACAAAATTAGCTAGGCGTGGTGTCGCATGCCTGTAATCTCAGCTACTCGGGAGGCTGAGGCAGGAGAATCACTTGAACCCAGGAGGTGGAGGTTGTGGTGAGCTGAGATCACACCATTGCATTCCAGCCTGGGCAATAAGAGCGAAACTCTGTCTCAAAAAAAAAAAATTATCTATTATGCAACTCTTGCACGAATTGTTATACTCACTCCACTATTTGCAGAACTATACACTTTGGCACCCGTAATGTGTAATTCTGATTGCAAAATTCTAATTGCTATAATACTTGGCCGAGTTATCATACTTATAACAGTATTAATAATTGCAGGATTTAGTGAAGGTTGTTTTGCTTAATTATTATCCTTGTATCAGAGGTAATAGCTACAGACAAAAGTAAGCATGAAAGTTTTACTTCACTGAGCTTGATAGGACTTTTCATTAAATATTGGTAATATGGGCTGGGTGCAGTGGCTCATGCCTGTAATCCCAGCACTTTGGGAGGCTGAGGCGGGCGGATCACCTGAGGTCAGGAGTTTGAGACAAGCCTGGCTAACATGGTGAAACCCATTGTGGCAGGCACCTGTAATCCAAGCTACTTGGGAGTCTGAGGCAGGAGAATCACTTGAACCCAGGAGGTGGAGGTTGCAGTGAGCTGAGATTGTACTGAGTGAGTTGTAGAGAAATGCCACACTTTGAGACTAATTGAGGAGTCCTTTTATTGCCGGCGACCAAGAGATGGCTAGTGCTCAAAGTTCTCTTGGCCCTGAAGAAGGGGCTAGATTTTGTTTTATATTGTGGTCTAAATAGGGGAGGGGGAGTTTAGCTGAAGCAATTTTTACAGAAGTAGAACAGGCAAAAAGTTAAAAAATTAATTGGTTACAGAAGCAGTTACAGAAAAATAAACAGTTCCAGGTGCAGGGGCTTAAACTATCACAAAGAGATAAATGCAGGGGTTTTAGGGGCCATCCACTGAGCATGTCCCCAGGAGCTGCTGGTTCAGCTTGCCTCAATACCTTATTAGTAAGTGCATTCCTGGATGTGCTTGGAGTCAGCTTGCACTAGTTATGCCCTTACGGGAGGGAGGCAAAGGGGCTGTAAGTGAAGGAACTAAAATGGAGTCTGTCTGGCTCTCTCAGTTAAGAGAGACAATTAGGTTAAAACAAGGTAGGGTATCACATTCCCCACTCGTGTTTTGGGGAATCAAATAATTGATTCCTTGGTTATAACAAGGGGGTATGTTGGGTTCTATGATACATAAGTTTGGTAGAAGTTATGTGCTGCTTTATAAAGTTAAGAAACCAGTTTAATATATGAGGCCCGAAGACTAAACCTAACAGGAAGAGGAGAAGGGGTCCTGCCAATCCAGTAATTAGGATAGTTAGCCATGGATTCCAGTTAAAGGTGCTTTTGTACCAGGGGGTGTTACTTTCTCATTCCTGTTGGCATCTATCTAGATTTTTTTGAACTTTTGGGGGTGTATCTTTTACGACTCTAGACTGATTGGCATAGAAACAACTCTCTCCCAGAGCTGCGCATAACCCTCCTTGGGAGAGAAATAGTAGATCTAAGCCTCAGCAGTTTTGAAGGGCTGCTTCAGCTAGAGACTCTACCTGGGTATGCAGTATATTTCTGGCTGATTGGAGATTGCTTAAATCTGCATCTACTTGTTGGGACAGGGACATTAGTCCAGTTTCCCCTTGAATAAGGGCAGCTGTGCTGATGGCTGCTGATCCAGCTATGCTAAGGCTGGCCAGAAGGGGCACAAGGAGTGGGGCAGCTCAGCAAAACCTGGAATGTAATTCAGGGGGAGCAATGAGAAGTTGTCCCTCTGGCCCACTGTACACATAGACCTGGGGGAGCACATGAACCAACACTCACAGGAGAGGCCCCGGTTAAGTCCCACTGATGCAGCAAGTGAGGTCAGAAGTGCAGGCCAGCCAGGTATTGTTGGGTGCCTGGTAGGAGACTGAGGTGTTTAAGGTAGTAAGTAGAGAATGATTACAGGTAGCCTGAAAGGCAGAAGCAGACAAGTTATACCCAGAGCTAATTAGACAGGAGGTGTTCTTTGACACTTCTCCTAGTGTAAGGGCATGGGGCTGTGTATGACAAGAAAGAGAGTTAACTTTGAACATGGCTTTATTCCTAACCCAACATACCATGGGGGTTTGGCCTTCAGGCACAACCAGCAATCTTGGGCTAGTTTAGGCTGGATGATATTTAGGAGGTGATGTACCCCATCCAGAATGGATATCAGGCTGGATTGGAGATGTTGTTGTTGTAACTGAGATCTGGGAACAAGGAGTGGTGGTGGGATAGTTAAATTGACCCTGTCTGGGTGTCTTTGGAACATAGGGTCACCTAAATCAGTTAAAGGCCTGGTTGACTTAGGAGGGCTCTATGGGACCAGGACCTTTTTTTGGATGGTGAACATAGTTCCAACATCAAATCCTGAGATACAAAGCCTTAATCCCCATGACATGCCATAATACCATTGAGCTGAATTAGGGTTACAGACAGTTATAGTGAGAGGGCTACAATTTTTTATAGTACACGGTCTAGGACGGGAATTGTGAGTTATGGAAAGGGTTGAGGACCAGGTTGATCCTCCAGGGTAAGTGGCTAGGGTTACACACGACCAGTGAGGGCAGAAAAACTGAAAAGAATCTCAACAACTAGAGTCAGGGTGATTTTCAAGACAGAGGTAAAAGTCAACGCCTTGGAGTCCTTTTTTTGCACCTTTAGAGCTCCCACCTCCGGTCTAGCTTCCTGTGTGTCTGAATCCTGCAGCAAGGTTGATGTTCCCCACTCCTGCGACTGGCAGATTGCACTGTTCTTCATGGGTACAGGCAGGCTCTGGGAACAAAGCACATAAATCGACTGCAAAAGAGACTTCCTTGGAGGTTCCTGCCTTCCAAGTAGTGTTTGAAAACTCACATCCTGTTGTGAAAGACGTGAGGAGAAAAGAGTAGGATGGAGCAGACGGCATAATAGGCAGAAACAAACAAAAGAGGTAAATAAAAAGGATTAATTTGATGGCTTTACTCAACTTAGGTGCAGTTTTAAGGGGACTGGCCCAGGCTTGGGGACCCATGTTTCCTGCTGGGCTTTGTTGGCTTTCTTGATGTCAGAGTGATGAATCCAAGCATGGATACCATCCACCTTTAGAGCCGTTGGCGTGGTGAGAATGACAGTATGAGGTCCCTTCCAGGCAGGAGTGAGTCCTTCTTTCTGGAACTTTTTAACATACACCAAGTAACCCGGTTGGAAAGAGTGGCAGGGTCCAGTCTGGCAGGAACCGGATTGGAATGTGCTCACCAGAAAAGTGGCTGGATGATGTCTCATACCTGTTGGAGAGACTGCAAGTACTGTAACAAATTAGCTTGTGAGATTTCTGCTAAATGGTTATCTCTTAGCTTAGGCAAGCTAGTGCACCCCTTTTATACATGATTTCAAAAGGTGAAAACCCAGCCCGGTAAGGGGTGCATCTTACTCTAAGAAGGGCTAAAAGAAGGAGCCTTACCCAATTTTCACCTGTCTCTAGGATTAATTTAGTAAGAGTGTTTTTTAGGGTGTGGTTTATGCATTCTACCTGTCCAGAGCTCTGGGGTCGATAGGCGAAATGGAGTTTCCATTGAATGTTTAATGGCTTGCTGACCGATAAGCTATGGACGAGGTGAAGGCTGGTCCATTATCAGACCCCATGGCAACAGGCAGCCCATGTCGAGGGATGATTCTATTGAGTAAAAGCCTAACTACCATGGTGGCAGTTTCATTTCTGTGGCAAATGCCTCAGTCCATCCAGAAAAAATGTCTACTAGCACCAGGAGGTATTTATACCCTGTCCGGTGTGGTTTTATTTCTGTAAAGTCAATTTTCTACTTTTCTCCTGGTGAGCTTCCCTGGAGGCCGTGGCCTGGGCTAGGCTTGGGACCTCATCTGGCATTTACCTGAGCACAAGCCATACACCAGAGAGCTGCTTGGTTAGTTAAGTCCTGAAGGTGGGGGATCTTGAAATGGCTCTTTAGAAGCTGGGCCAGTTTTATTCTTCCCAAACAGGTGGTAGAATGCAGATGATTGATTAAAGTTTCCCCAAAGGCTTGGGGGCATAAAGATTCTGGAATCAGGAAGAATCCACCAACCTTCCTGATTTTTACTGGCCTGAAGATCTGAAGCTAGTTTTTCTTCCACTGGGGAGTATTCTGGTTGGTCTGGCAAGTCAGTTTGTGGAAAGGACACTGTGGACAGCAGGGTTAAAGGGGTGACTGGGAGCAGAGCTGCCTCTTGAGCTGCAGAGTCTGCTCTTTGGTTACCACAGGCAACGGCTGTGCTCTGTCTTTGATGTCCTTTGCAGTGAATTACAGCCATCTGCTGAGGAAGCCAAACAGCTTCAAGCAGGGCCAAAATTTCTTCTTTGTTTTTAATAGTCTTTCCTGCTGTGGTGAGTAGCCCTCACTCTTGATAGATGACTCCATGTACATGTACAGTAGCAAAAGTATACCTGCTGTCAGTGTAAATGTTAATACATTTGTCCTTACCCCATCAGAGAGCCTGAGTGAGGGCGACCAATTCAGCCTTCTGTGCTGAGGTACCTGCCGGCCGTGCCTAGGCCCACAGTATATCTGTCTCTGTTGGAATGGCTGCACCAGCCTTTCATACTCCCTGTTCAAGGAAGCTACTGCCATCTGTAACCACGGTGGCATCCAACTCCTTTGGGGGCACATCTCAGAGATCAGGTCGGCCAGTTTCCATAGTCTCTAACAGTTCTTGGCAGTCATGGACAGGTGTGGTAAGGTCTGGATCAGGGAGCAAGGTAGCTGGATTTAAACACCTTGTGGGAGAGAAAGCTAAACAAGGCTGATCTAACAGTAAACTCTGATACTGCAGGATGCGAGCATTTGACATCCATTTGCCAGAAGCACTTCATAGCAAAGTTTCTATGGCATGAGGAGCTGTAAGGGTTAAATTCTGGCCTAGAGTCAGTTTATCAGCCTCCTGGACCAGGCTTGTTTTTGCTGCTGTGGCTCGCAGACAACGTGGCCACCTGGAGACCACAGGGTCTAGCTTTTTAGACAAATAGGCCACTGGGGGTCACCATGGTCCCAAAGTCTGAGTAAGTACACCTTTAGCAACTCCCTGGCTCTCATGAACAAAAAGGTGAAATGGTTTTGAGATATTTGGGAGGGCAAGAGCAGGGGCCTCAGTTAATGTCTTTTTTAGATTTTGAAAAGCCTGTTCTTCTTTGTCAGTCCAAACTAGTGGGCCATTCCCTCCGGTAGCAGTGTACAGGGGCTTAGCGATTTCTGTGAACCCCAGTATGCATAAATGACATTATCCCATGGTCCCCAGGAATTCACATACCTGTCTCTTGGTGGTGGGAGTGGGGATTCGCAGGATGGCTTCCTTTTGAGCACTGGTGAGTGCCGTTTTTCCTTTGTTTATCTTTTACCCTAGGTAGGAAACTCTGGGAAGACAAAGCTGGGCCTTCTTGGTGAGACCTGGTACCCGAGTTCCTGCAGAAGGCCAAGCAGGTCCCTAGTATGTTGCAGGCAGCTGTCAGTAATTTCAGTAGCTAATAAAAGATCATCCATGTACTGGAGAAGAGTACAGTTAGGGTGACTGGCTCAGAACGGTATGAGATCTTGTTGGAGAGCTTCTCCAAAAAGTGTGGGGGAATTTTTAAAACCCTGGGGTAACTGGGTCCAGGTTAATTGGGTGGTGTTTCCTGAGCCAGGATCTGTCCATTCAAAAGCAAAGATAGGTTGGCTTTTTGGGGGCCAGAGGAATAGCCAAGAAGGCATCCTTTAAGTCAGTGACAGTGTATACTGTATGTTCTGGTGGGAGCAGTCTGAGTAAAGTATAAGAGTTACGGACAGTTGGATGGATGGTAACTGTCCACTTGTTAACCTCTCTCAAGTCCTGTACAGGCTGGTAATCATTTGTTCTGGGTTTCTGGACTGGCAAAGATGGAGTATTCCAGGCAGACTCACATGGTGTGAATATACCAGCTTGTAACAGTTGCTGAATATGGGGATAGATTTCCCCTCTAGCCTGCTGACTCATAGGATATTGTTTTACCTGGACTAGCAAGGCAGTGGCCAGGAGTTGTACAACTACTGGCAGATAGTGCTTTGCCAGTCCTGGGGGTTTGACTCAGCCCAGACTCAAGGAAAGAGAGTCTGTAAATCCAGTAGGAGAGGATTAATTTTATTATCCAGTGCTTGTGAGGGTGAAACTAAGAGATTTTTTTTGATGGAGGGGTGGTTAGCAGGAGCTGAACAGCAGTGGGCATTGTGTCCCCTAAAGCAAGGTGAGCTTGTTGGGCCAAGAAGGAGATAGACGCCTTCAGCTTATGAAGTAGGTCTCATCCAAGGAGGGGAAAGGGGCACTCTCGGACTATGAGAAATGAGTGGGTTGCTCTTTTCTGTCCCAAACTCACCTCTCATGAGTGGGTGACAGGATATTCCTGAATAGCTCCAGTATCCCCTTGCACAGCCACCTTTTTATTAGAGACACTGCCCAAGGGCATTTGCAGTACTGAGTGTTCTGCCCTGGTGTCAATTAGGAAACGTACAGGCCGGCCCCCCACTGTGGCGGACACCATGGGTTCCCGGGGGCCAAGGGAGAGGGAGACCCAGCCCCATCAATCAGCATATTCCTCCACAGCAGGGAGGATGAGGACCTTTTTATTCTCTGGTTTTTCTTCTGGTTTTAATGGGCGTTCCTTCTTCCAGTGTCAAATCTGCTTGCAATAAGCACATTGGTTTTTTAGTACAGGAGCCTGCTCACCTTTTTGGCCTTTTTGGCAGGGACCCGAGATCTCCTGGCCAGCGCTCTGTGCTGGGGGCCCTTCCCTCCTGGCTTCTTGGATGGCAGCCACTAAGATTTTTGCCTGTCTTTTTGATGCTTTGTCAGCAGCCTTTTCAGCTGCCTGAGATGCCTCTTTTTGTTTTTCAAACTCTTGATTGTCAAAAACTTTCTGTGCTATTTCTAAAAGCTGAATGATATTCATTCCAGCAAATCCCTTTAATTTTTGTAATTTCTTTTTAATATCAGGGGCCTCCTGAGCCACAAATGCCAAATTAATAGCACGGCTATTCTTAGGAGCCGCTGGCTCAAAAGGGGTGTAAGTCCAATAGGCCTCCTGGAGGTGTTCCAAAAATGCTCCCAGTGACTCATCAGGCCCCTAGAAAACTTCAGTTGTCTTAGATAAATTTATGGGTTTTTGAGTTGCTCCTTTGATACCCACAAGGAGATACCAGTGAAAATCATCCAAAGCTGTCTTTCCCCATGAGGAGTTTGGATCCCAACTGGGCCGGGTAGAGGGAAAAACCTCCACTAGGAGGTCTTGGGCTTCCCCCTCTGGTCTACCGGCTGATGTAAGGAAATACTTCCTAGCCTCCCTTCAGATACAGTCCCTCTCTTCAGAGGTGAAAAGTGTTAAAAGGAGTTCCTGACAGGCATCCCAGGTGGGCCAGTGAGTCCGGAGCATGGATTCCATCAGTGAGGTCAAGACCTGGGGCTTTTCAGAGTAGGGGGGATTATGAACCTTTCAATTGTACAGGTCAGAAGTAGAGAAGGGGACATAAACTAAAAATGGAGCAGAGCGCTCACTGCCTGGAGGGATTTGGGCCTCTCTCAGCAGGAGGAGAGGGGCCACCTCCTCTGGCTGAGGCCGTAATTGGGTGGCTATAGGTGGAGAAGCCACAGAGCATGTAGTCAAGGAGACATGGGAAGATTCTGGGAGAGCAGGAGGGTTGTAGGGTGGCAAACATGGGTGAGGAAAACTTTCCTCTTCTTTAGAAGGAGGCAGTACAGGAGGAGCCGAGGGAGCTGAGGGTTGGGGCAAAAGTGCAGTCGGGCTCAAAAGGACCTGGGAGGTGGGATCATGAATGGTGCATGAGCAGAGCCATGGAGGAGGGCTCTGGACCAAATCTAGCCATTGATCAATGTAAGGAAACTGATTGGGGTGTCCGGGAGTTCCAGCAATGACCTGCCACACAGTCTGCACAGTTGTGAGATTCAGTGACCCTTCTAGGGGCCACCTGGTTCCAAACTGTGGCCATTCCACTTCATAAAGTGTCCAGAGTTTGCTTTCTTAAGGCAGACTCCATAATCCTCTGAGAAGCCCAGAGAGGAATTTTGTAACGTATATTGGAAGGGCTCCAATCTTTATGGGGCCAGGAAGAAGAGTTCCCCATTCTGGAGGCAATTAACAAGGTCTAGGCGAAATATTAAACTCAGCATGGACAGAGAAATTCACAATCTGGGGGGCTGTAGTATAGGAAGAACAGAAGTATTATAACCAGAAGAAGTAGGAAAACAACTATAGCCAACACTTCTTGTCACATAAGTTCTGTTTCTTTAAGCTTTGAGATCTAGGGGGAGGACAAGAGGTGGGTCTGAGGCCAGTGGGACCTATGTGATCCTCCCCTCCTTTCTGACTTATAGCCCAAATATCTTTGGTATCTCCACGACTCAAAGGCAAAAAGTTTAAAGTTGGCCCTTTCTTTTAAGGATTTTAGGAGGGAGAGTAGAGTCATTGGACGTTGGACTTGCTGTGACACAGGAAAACAAGATGGGTGGGGTAAGGGATGGGGATGAGGAGGAAAGGGGCCACTCTGATCTTTTCTAAGGTAGGAGAGTAGCCAGAGGGATAGAATAAGAATCCAGGTGGAGTAAAGCAGTATGGGCACAGGTTTCTCTGCACAGTGCCTTATCTAAGGGCATGGGAAAAGTTATGGGATGACAGAAAAGGTGAGCAAGGAGGACTGCAGGGTGGCTATTTTGAATCCACCACTGGTCTAAGGCAGAGGTGGTCCAGTCACTGGGGCATGGGGTGTGGCAATCCAAATGCTAGCAATCTTTATGGTGCCAGAAATCCCAAACGGGCAAATGTTCCCCACACGCCTCCCCGTAACAACACCTGATTTGTTTCTGACAGAAAAGGCAGGACTGGGAAGACCAGCCCAAATGACTGATGAGAAATTTGACCTCCTGTGTTAGAAAATCTGCATTCAGGACTTTAAAGAAGTTCTTGCCCAGTCATCTTCGGAAATATCGATGACCTGACATGTGAAACTTAGACAGACACCAGACAGGACAAGAGACACCGGGGTATACAAACAATTATGACAATTTTTATAGACAGACAAGGGGAGGGGGTCCCGTGATGGGATCAGCCAGATGCCCACCTGGCTGCTCCGCCGGAGGGGACTTAGGCTCCTCTTGGCATTGGCAGACCGGTATAAACCCACCGGCTCAGATCAAGCTATGCCCGATGCTGCCTTAAGCCTTATGAGGTCGCCACGGAACCACAGGTGAGGGCCCACTCCAACTCCGTAGCTTTCACCGTGGAGCTGCAAACTGGAAATTCAAGGACAAGCCCTTGAACCCCACATTCACACACACACTTACACAGAGTTTATCACAATTCTTTATTCCCATTCTAAAACAGAGGTCTCCTAGAAACCTGAATGAGAGAAGGAGAAGAGATAAAAAGAGAGAGAGAGAAAGACAGAGAGAAAGACAGAGAGAGAGAGAGAGAGAGAGAGAGAGAGAGAGAGAGAGAGAGGCTAGTCTTAACAGAGAAGGCTGACAGAAACCAGGACTCCGTCCTCCAGCATCCTGGAATATGGGCAGAGTCAGAAGGACGCCCTCGTCAGGGCCGCTTCCCTCCCAGAGAAACAGAGTCAGATCTGACTTACCTTCCCAGGACCAGAAATGCAGGACTCAGGAGTTGATTTTGGAGGGCACACACCGGCAGTCGATCCGTTCCCCTCCGGAAGACAGTGGCCTACGGGTCTCTGGAACAGCTTCAGGAGGTGCCTCCCCTATAAGCCCGCTGTCCAGCCAGGAGAGCCTGGAGCGAGTCCGGCACTCACCAGGTGGCAATTATCTTGCTGGGGCTTCCAAATGTTGTAACCGAGCGAGTTGTAGAGAAACGCCACACTCTGAGACTAATTTCAGGAGTCCTTTTATTGCCGGTGACCGAGAGACAGCTAGTGCTCAAAATTCTCTCGGCCCCGAAGAAGGGGCTAGATTTTTTTTATATCGTGGTCTAAATAGGGGAGGCGGAGTTTAGCTAAAGCAATTTTTACAGAAGTAGAACAGGCAGAAAGTTAAAAAAATTAATTGGTTACAGAAGCAGTTACAGAAAAATAAACAGTTCCAGGTGCAGGGGTTTAAACTATCACAAAGAGGTAAATGCAGGGGTTTTAGGTGCGTCCCCAGGAGCTGCTGGTTCAGCTTGCCTCAATATCTTATCAGTAAGTGCATTCCTGGACGTGCTTGGAGTCAGCTTGCACTAGTTATGCCCTTAAGGGAGGGAGGTAAAGGGGCTGTAAGTGAAGGAAATAAAATGGAGTCTGTCCGGCTCTCTCAGCTAAGAGAGATAATCAGGTTAAAACAAGGTAGGGTATCAAGAGATCATGCCATTGTACTTCAGCCTGGGGGACAAGAGCAAGACTTTGTCTCAAAAAAAAAAAAAATTGGTAATATGGTGCACTGTAAGCTACAGAAAGACAGTTATAAAGAAAGATTTTATATAAGGAAGAATCTTGTATGTTAAATTCTTGTTCTAAAAGGAGATGACTGGTTGTTTAAAGAATGGATGTTTAGGACAAGTCAGAAAGTTTGTTATAAGATGGTCTGTGGAAATAAAGAGTTGAATAATTAAAGGAAAGGCATTGCCAAGATTAACACTAAAGTTACTTTAGCCACCGGATGATGTATTTCTCCCAATCATATTGAAAGTTATAAAAATGGCCTAAACCTAAAAGTATTCCCTAATGGCAAGTCAAGGGGAAAATGTATGTTTTTCTCAAAGAAAATGTTACTTTTATATTAACGTTTCTGGTAATGTACAGCAACATCTAGTGGAGGCAAACCAGTATTACAATCCATTGGGACAACTAACAGGTGTAGAACTCTGCTATTATACCATAAGGTTGTATTACCCCACTAGCAGCGGTCATCTTAATATGAATATTCTAATCCTGTCTTCAAAACCTTCTGGTAAAAATTATCTCTTTTTTGCCTAGGTGCTGCAAACAGAGCCACACGAGGACACACCATTCTTTTTTTTTATTGTTTGTTTGTTTGATTTAAGACGAAGTCTCGCTCTGTCACCCAAGCTGGAGTGCAGTGGTGAGATATCGGCTCACTGCAACCTCCGCCTCCCAGGTTGAAGCAATTCTCCTGCCTCAGCCTCCCTAGTAGATGGGATTACAGGCACGCAACACCAAGTCTGGATAATTTTTGTGTTTTTATTAGAGATGCGGTTTCACCATGTTGGCCAGGCTGGTCTTGAATTCCTGACCTCAGGTGATTCACCTGCCTCGGCCTCCCAAAGTGCTGGGATTACAGGCATAAGCCACTGCACCTGGCCTGGACACACCATTTTTTTTCAAGAACTCTTAGATCAACCTCAGGAGGAGCCCTAACTGCTGTTCCCCAACATGATGGCCCTTTTCAGCAGGAAGTATCTTGAAAGATTCGTCATCTGACACCCCCTAACAGCAGTTAGGAATACGTCTCCTGAGGGGAGAATAATATAGGAGTTATTAAGAAATTATTTTAGGCATTTAGAGAGGGTAAAAGAGTTCTCTCACTAGAATTTTTCTTTAATAAAAAGCAGCCCCAAAGCCAATTCTTTTCTAACAGAAAACAGCCTGAAAAGTCAAGCTGCAAGCTGATAAGCAGGCTGGAGACTTTCATTTGTAAATGCAGGCGGCTGTATTAAAAGGCAAGTACATTTCAACAGAGGTGAATTCCTCCTCTTTTTTCTTTGACACCACTTGTGTGGGTGTCATGGCACCAGCCAGGTAAAGCCACGTGAGCAGGTATCATGGTGACAGGTAGAAGCTACATTTGCATAATAAAAGACTAGGGTGGGAGGGCCAGCCTTTGCATGGGTTATGTAAATGGCACACCTGGTCAACCAATCTCCTGTGCCCTATGTAAATCAATCACTGACTCCTCAAGCTTCTCTACAAAATCAATTGTGTTCTACCCGCAACCAGGAAATTTTTTAGGTGACCCTGTTTCTCAGCATGAGGAGCTTTCTCTCTCTCTGTTATTTTTGCCTATTAAACTTTCTTTTTTTTTTTTTTTTTTTTTTTTTGAGACGGAGTCTCACTCTGTCGCCCAGGCTGGAGTGCAGTGGCGCCATCTCGGCCCACTGCCAGCTCTGCCTCCCGGGTTCACGCCATTCTCCTGCCTCAGCCTCCCGAGTAGCTGGGACTACAGACGCCCGTCACCACGCCCGGCTAATTTTTTGTATTTTTAGTAGAGACGGGGTTTCACCGTGTTAGCCAGGATAGTCTCGATCTCCTGACCTCGTGATCCACCTGCCTCGGCCTCCCAAAGTGCTGGGATTACAGGCGTGTTGTCTATTAAACTTTCCACCCCAAAATCAATCCTCGTGTGTGTTCGTGTTCTAAATTTTCCTCGTGTGAGACAACAAACCCCAGGTATTTACCCCAGACAATGCAGCCATTTCAGAGTCTGGGAAATGAATCTTAGTCACAGAAAAAAAGAACAGCAATGAACATGGCAAGGTGCTTATGATTCTGGTCCACTGGATCTTCCTATCCCTAGGAAAGTAAATACCATCACAGTCAGCACCCAGCAAGTTACCACCATATAATTTCTTGTTTGTTCCAAAATAAATACAGGTGATTCTTATCACAAAGGCAAATAAAAAGTAGTTTACTTTTTAAACTGAACTGTATCAGTTTAGTTTACTCTTAAGTTCTTATAATTTTGAAAATGCAGTTGACACTTGTATGGCTTATGAAATTTTTGATAGTCTAACATTACTTGAATTGTTCAAAGAACAGTATATTTTAAATTAAGAAGAGTAAACTGTATGTGTTTGTTTCCTATATTTAAGGTTTAGAATCACAAATTACACTCCTGTTTATGATTTGAAAACTTCAAAGTTTGGTTTTTCCATCTGTACATACACAGAACAGTGTTATCGTGCTGAAACATTTGTATCTTAAGATGGCAGTCACAGTTTCCATCTGTCTGGATATATTTTGGACTTTTGCATGTTAAACATAAGAAAGAGACTTTTTGTTTTAGGTAATCTAAGACTGTTGTACACAAACTACAGATTACTGTAGGGTTCAGCAAACTATGTTTATAATGTGACATTAATATCTATTTTGATGTCTAAATCAAAACTTTTTTTAGAAATAATTTTTTTTTTACAAATATCTCCACAAATTCAGGTTTATTTTATAAAATGGCAGGATAGTAAAGAAATAGGTGGTTTGCCATAGTATATGAATACATGCACTTAATTAAAATACCAAATATTATAATCAAAATTTAGATAGCAGATTTAAATAATTTCTTGATTTTTCACTACAGGATAGAAATTCACAAATATTTTATAAATCAAAGCTATTAGTATTAGGTTTTACTTAGTAGTAATATATATATATATTCTGGGTATTTAAAAAATATATATATATTCTGGGTATTTGAAAACACCAAATTATTGATGAAAATGTCCATTTTGAACAAATTATTGATCATATATATCATACATCATACATACATATCATATATGCAATCATACATTATCATATATGTATGATGTATAATATATGATCAAGAATTTGTTCAAAATGGGTATTTTTCATCAATAATTTGGTGTTTTCAAATACCCAGAAGTCTTGTTTTAATCAGATTAACTCTAAGAATAGTTTACTAATTTTATTTTTTATGGTGTGTTCAAAATTTGATAGTTTAATATGGATTGATGATGGGTAAACTAATCAATTTCTTTTCAAATCTCATAGGCCTATTACATTGTCAAGGATGTTATTAATAAAAATTCTTTCTTTTAATATTGTTTACAGGGATTTAGGTCTAGTCTAATCTGCTCAACCTGTTAATCAGTGTCAGCTGCCAGATTCCAACTCATTTTTAGTGTGCCTATGTGACTTTTTCTCCATAGTCTCTGAATTACATTTTGATTAGTTATTGGAATATCATATAGCACAGCTCATACATTTAAAACAAAACCACCAGGTAAAATGAGTTCTGGTTTAGTATAAAGAAGCTGTCACCAAGTTAGTGTTACATACATAGATGGATGTGGCTCAACAAGATTTTAGACAAAAAAATTTGAATTGAACTATGGCAACGTGTGTTGCTATGACTTAGCCTCTAGTGGGCTTATGAACAAAGACAAATTTCAGCAAATTTATCCAGTTGCTTTCAGTATCTCTAAAGATAGTATGTCAAGAATTCTCATGCTACTGTCTGAAAAAACAGATTCTTCTCTTATCTAAGAAATCAACTGGATATATTTTTATAAGCTTGTGCAAGAAAAAACTGCAATGCAGTACTAATAATTACAGACGATATAATGTGGAAAAGAATAATCTAGAATGTCAATTTCAATATGTAAGTATTTAGGTTGGGCATGGGGACTCATGCCTGTAATCCCAGCACTTGGGAGGCTGAGTCATGTGGATCACTTTAGGTCTGGAGTTCAAGGCCAGCCTGGCCAACATGGTAAAACCCATCACTACTAAAAATACAAAAATCAAGCATGGTGGGAAGCACCTGTAATCCCAGCTACTCAGGAGGCTGAGGCAAGAGAATAGCTTGAACTCAGGAGACAGAGATTGCAGTGAACTGAGATTGAAGCACCGCATTCTAGCCTGAGTTACAGAGTGAGATTCTGCCTCAAAAAAAAAAAAAAAAAAAAAGTATTTAACCTTTCACTTGAAAAATGTGATAAAATTAAGTTTTTGGTAAGCTTTGTGTAGCTTAACATCAGCATAGAGTAGAAAAAAAATCTTTAAAAATGCAAACAAAAAGCTACACCAAAAAAACTAACATCTACCAGTGCATACATATTGATCTTTGTTTTGGGAGAGTCTAAAGCAAAACATTTGGTGAACTTGATACAGTTATTTTGATCACATTGGCATACTGATAAAATCATTTTATTTAATTTCACTGAAACATGTTCACATCTTAAAAATACTGTTTTGTAACATGAATGATAAATGTAAAGTCTTTATCCTCAAGAGGATCCTGATTCTCAAGATATATGGCAACCCGTGTCTCTGGTTTCTCCAAACTGAAGTTTCATGAAGGCTCAAACATGAAGTGAGAGGGAGTCAACAACAGAGCATGAGAAGCAAGAAGGATGAGGTAGGATGGTCAGCTCTAAGGCTCAGAGGTTCCTGGGGGACCCCAATATAATGATGTCAACTATGAAGCTCACTAGTAAACATAAACATAAAAAGCTGAGGCTGGGCATGGTGGCTCATGCCTGTAATCCCAGCACTTTGGGAGGCCTAGGCAAGCGGATCACAAGGTCAAGAGATCAAGACCATCCTGGCCAACGTGGTGAAACCCCGTCTCTACTAAAAATACAAAAATTAGCTGGGCATGGTGGCGCACACCTCTAATCCCAGCTACTCAGGAGGCTGAGGCACGAGAATGGCTTGAACCCGGGAGGTGAAGGTTGCAGTGAGCCGAGATCACACCACTGCATTCCAGCCTGGTGACAGAGTGAGACTCCATCTCAAAAAAAAAAAAAAAAAAAAAAGTTGAAAACTCCATGGCTTCTCTTTGGTGAGAAAAAGTCTCTGGAATTACAAACAGTCCTGCCAAAAGGATTGAGCCAGAATGACATGTATCTAAGGATTATTAAGGAGGAATGTTCATAAGCACATAAGTATTTGTTCCAAAACTTATTACAGTAGCAATATCCTTTTCTGTAATTTTAGCTTCCCCAAGGTAGGGTTGCTGTAGACAAACTAAGACAAGGCACTAATATGTTGAAGGCAATTAGTTTCTAAATTTAAAAAACTTGCAATTTTTTTTTTTGAGATAGAGTCTCGCTCTGTCACCCAGGCTGGAGTGTGGTGGCACAATCTCGGCTCACTGCAACCTCTGTATCCCAGGTTCAAGCAAGTCTCCTGCCTCAGCCCTCCAAATACCTGGGATTACAGGTGCCTGCCACCATGCCCAGCTATTTTTTGCATTTTTAGTAGCGACAGAGTTTCACCACGTTGGCCAGGCCGGTCTCGAACTCCTGACCTCAGGTGATCCACCCACCTCGGGCTCCCAAAGGGCTGGGATTACCGGGGTGAGCCACCACACCTGGCCCAAAAACTTGCAATAATTTTATAAATTTTATTGAACTCTGTTTCATGTATAAATCTCACAAAAAGACACTATCCAGTAGCTATTTCCCTGAGACTTTTCTGGGAATTTCTGTTGCTTGATTTCAAATCAACCTTATTAGAATCCTAGTCATTTTTGAAGCCCTAGATGTAATAAAAGAAAGAGGGCAGGAATGAAACCAAGTTTCCCCAAACAGTCAATGTCTAATATATTTTGTTCCCCAAAATGACCCCAAAAACCACACAAGCTAAAAAACAGTGGGTTTGAAATTTAACCTACATTCAACAGTAGCAGAAAACCATATGTAAAAATCAGCAAAGTCATAACTTAGAAACATTCTGTTATTCCAGAAAAAATAATAAAATTCTTATTTTGGCATTTTTAAAAAAGAAAAAATACACTAAATATGACAAAATATACCAACTCACTTATATCTTTGAAATATGATTTTCTTTCTCCTAAGTATTTAATATAATATTTAGACAAGACTTTCATGTATTATAGCTACCATGCATGAACTAAAATAGCCTTGGGGGAAATAATTTTTATTAATAATGAATATTGAGGCTCCAGAAATGTAAAATGATTTATCTTGGATACACAGCTAGTGACCCAAATGAAGCTCAAATATGTTTGATTTAAAAATTTTAATTTTGCCACTGTTGACAATGTTGACATAACAGCTAAATCTGAGCCTTAGAGTTGATAGTTGGGGAATAAATCAAGTACTATTGAGGCGGGCTAGGTAATCAAGAAAGTGGCTATGTCCTGGGGATGCGGCAACCATGGTGATTGCATGACAACTGCAGACTGCCAACACAATAAGCACCAACATTTACATTGGATTTCAGCTCATTCAAGAAAAGCTCTCTCCAGCAGGGAAATTCCCCTGTAGAGAGCACAGTTTGATTTTACCTGTCCTCTAACTGACCTTTTACTCATTGTAATAGTAAAAAACACTCACGTGTGTGGAGATTTAAGATGCTAATGAGATATGTGACATATAAAGAAACATGTACAGGTACTGAGTGTGTGTACGAAGAGAACCACCCAGAACATGGTTACTAGTAACATCTCTTTCCACCTCCTTATAAATAATTATGTAAGACTCTCATAAATGGAATCTCCTTAGTTCCAGCCTTTGCTGTATCATTCTTTTTTTTTTTTTTTTTTTAATTTGAGATGGAGTTTCGATCTTGTTGCCCAGGCTGGAGTGCAATGGTGCAATCTTGGCTCACCACAACCTCCGCCACCTGGATTCAAGCGATTCTCCTGCCTCAGCCTCCCGAGTAGCTGGGATTACAGGTGCCTGCCACAACACCAGCTAATTTTTTGTATTTTTAGTAGAGACAGTGTTTTACTACGTTGGCCAGGCTGGTCTCAAACTCCTGACCTCAGGTGATCTTCCCACCTCAGCCTCCCAAAGTGCTGGGATTACAGGCGTGAGCCACTGTGCCCAGCCTGAAGTATTTTAAAATGGAGGTTGAGAGCCTTGAGATTAAAGGTCAGATTTGATGGTCACTCCATACTCACCACTCCGATGATTCTGTATTTTGTTCTGATCCTGGACAAGCTCCCAGATGAAATGGCTGCACTGTCTGGGGTAAATACCTGGGGTCCATTGTCTAATGCCAGGAAAATGTATGACATAAACACACAGGAGGAGTGGGTTTAGGAGCAGAAAGTTTAATAGACAAAAAAGAAGAGAGAAAGCTTCCTCATGCTGAGAAAGCAGGTCACCCAGAAGAGTTTCTGGGTTTGGGGTAGAACACGATTGATTTTGTAGAGAGGCTTGTGGAGGCAGTGATTGATTTACATAGGGCCCAGGGGTTTGGTTGACCAGGAGTGCCATTTACATAGCCAGTGAAAACACTGGCTCCCCACCCTAGCCTTTTATTATGCAAATGCAGCTTCTACCTGGCTGTGACCATGACACCTACACACAGGGTGAAAAGGAAAAGAGGGGGAAGTTTCCATGTTGAAATATAACTGGCTTTTGGTACAGCTGCCTCTATTTACATATGCAACCCTCTAGCTTGCTTATAAGCTTGCAGTTTGACTTTTTAGGCTACTTTCTGTTAGGAATAAAATGGTTTGGGGGCTGCTTTTTATTAAAGGAAAATTCCAGTGAGAACTCTTTTACCCACTTAAACTGCCTAAAACAGTTTCTTAATAAATCCTGTATTAACTCCTCTTCAACTTCATTTCTATTGTGGCATGAATAATTTTGGACTGCTTTAGCATCTTCCTTTAACTTCTGCTAATTTTCTTTGACTTTTTATTATTCTTGTCCATCTCTGGTGGTTGCTTTGCTGTACCAGTTTGAGAAGTTCAGGTGGTTTCACCCTCAGCTGCTCCAGCAGTCCATTCATTTGGCTCAAGCTCTTGGACAGTTTCTCCCCGTTCTTCTGTTTGTGGCATCTGAGATTTGTCAGCAGGGCGTGGTTTTCAGGAACCATGGCTACCACCTCGTTCCACCTGCAGGGTGGCTCTTGCACTTCTGGTGGGTGCTGATTCTACAGAAACAACAGCAGCAGCCAGAGCATCCACATCTGGTGTCACCCAGCTCAGGGACACCCTGGCTGTAACCCTGGGATGAGGTCCAGCTAACTGCATAGAAATCTAAGGTCATCCAGAGCATTTCCCATAGCTGGGTGAACCCTCCTCAGTTTGTGGAGCCAGGCCCTCCCACCAGCTTCCTGCTGCCTCCTCCTCTACCATCAGAGGGATGCACAGGATGAGGAAGGAGCACGGAGTCACCATGGAAGAGTCCAGGGGAGTGAGGATGAGCTGGGACAGGCAGCCTCAGGCCAAGTGCATGGTGGTGCCCCTCATACCTGAGCACAAATCAGATCAGCCACTGCCACTGCAGGGAGGACAGAGAAGCCCAGGCTTCCCAGCCAGCCTCCCTCTGCACCAGTAGAGATGAAAACTATTTTTTTTTTTTTTTTTTTTTTTTTTTTTTTTTTTTTTTTGAGACGGAGTCTCGCTCTGTCGCCCAGGCTGGAGTGCAGTGGCGGGATCTCGGCTCACTGCAAGCTCCGCCTCCCGGGTTCACGCCATTCTCCTGCCTCAGCCTCCCAAGTAGCTGGGACTACAGGCGCCCGCCACTACGCCCGGCTAATTTTTTGTATTTTTAGTAGAGACGGGGTTTCACCGGAAAACTATTTCTTAAACAAAAGTATGGAGTAGAACTTGCATATCTGACCCAATCACATTTTCATTCTCTTTTTCTTTTTGTTTTGCTTTTTCCTCTTAGATTGTGCTCTCCTGAAGTCAGATTGGGATAGGAGGTTTATAGGAAACTTCAGAAGTATCCACTTATCAGGAGTGTGTAAGGCGTTTATGTAGTTAGACTTCAAGTTTCATGAGAGTAGAGACCAAAACTTTCCTTTCTCTATTTTATTTTCTAAGGCTACCAAAAGGATGGCATATCATGTGTGCTCCACATACATTTATTGGTTAAAAGAATGAATACATATTCTTTGTAAACTGTGAAACTATGCAAATCAAGCCTTTATTATTTTTATTTTCTATAGTTTAGTTAATAAAATCAAATAGAAAATAATGAAGTGTAGAATGCAGAAAGCACTATCGAAAGTTTAATGTTGCTCTCCCTATTCCTATTCCTATCCCTATCCCTATCCCTATCCCTATCCCTATCCCTATCCCTATCCCTCTCCACGGTCTCCCTCTGATGCCGAGCCGAAGCTGGACTGTACTGCTGCCATTTCTGCTCACTGCAACCTCCCTGCCTGATTCTCCTGCCTCAACCTGCCGAGTGCCTGCGATTGCAGGCGTGCGCTGCCACGCCTGACTGGTTTTCATATTTTTTTGGTGGAGACGGGGTTTCGCTGTGTTGTCCGGGCTGGTCTCCAGCTCCTAACTGGGAGTGATCTGCCAGCCTCGGCCTCCCGAGGTGCCGGGATTGCAGTCGGAGTCTCATTCACTCAGTGCTCAATGGTGCCCAGGCTGGAGTGCAGTGGCGTGATCTCGGCTCGCTACAACCTCCACCTCCCAGCCGCCTGCCTTGGCCTCCCAAAGTGCCGAGATTGCAGCCTCTGCCCAGCCGCCACCCCATCTGGGAAGTGAGGAGCGTCTCTGCCTGGCCGCCCATCGTCTGGGATGTGAGGAGCCCCTCTGCCCAGCTGCCCAGTCTGGGAAGTGAGGAGCGCCTCTTCCCGGCCGCCATCCCGTCTAGGAAGTGAGGAGCGTCTCTGCCCGGCCGCCCCGTCTGAGAAGTGAGGAGCCCCTCCGCCCGGCAGCCGCCCCGTCTGGGAAGTGAGGAGCGTCTCCGCCTGGCAGCCGCCCCGTCCGGGAGGTGGGGGGTCAGCCCCTGCCCTGCCAGCCGCCCCGTCCGGGAGGGAGGTTGGGGGGGCCAGCCCCTGGCCGGCCAGCCGCCCCGTCCGGGAGGTGGGGGGGCGCCTCTGCCTGGCCGCCCCTTCTGGGAAGTGAGGTGCCCCTCTGCCCGGCCGCCACCCCATCTGGGAGGTGTACCCAACAGCTCATTGAGAACGGGCCATGATGACGATGGCGGTTTTGTCGAATAGAAAAGGGGGAAATGTGGGGAAAAGATTGAGAAATCAGATTGTTGCTGTGTCTGTGTGGAAAGAAGTAGACATAGGAGACTCCATTTTGTTCTGTACTAAGAAAAATTCTTCTGCCTTGGGATCCTGTTGATCTATGACCTTACCCCCAACCCTGTGCTCTCTGAAACATGTGCTGTGTCCACTCAGGGTTAAATGGATTAAGGGCGGTGCAAGATGTGCTTTGTTAAACAGATGCTTGAAGGCAGCATGCTCGTTAAGAGTCATCACCACTCCCTAATCTCAAGTACCCAGGGACACAAACACTGCGGAAGGCCCCAGGGCCCTCTGCCTAGGAAAACCAGAGACCTTTGTTCACATGTTTATCTGCTGACCTTCCCTCCACTATTGTCCTATGACCCTGCCAAATCCTCCTCTCTGAGAAACACCCAAGAATGATCAATAAAAAAACTAAATAAATAAAAATTTAAAAAAAAAGAAAGTTTAATGTTAACCCAGCACACATGGGTAAAATACATTTTTTTTTTTTTTCAGACGGAGTTTCACTCTTGTTGCCTTGGCTGGAGTGCAATGGTGCGATGTGGGCTCACCGCAACCTCACCTCCCGGGTTCAAGCGATTTTTCCTGCCTCAGCCTCCTGAGTAGCTGGGATTACAGGCATGCGCCACCATGCCCAGCTAATTTTGTAGTTTTAGTAGAAACGGTGTTGCCCCATGTTGGTCAGGCTGGTCTCGAACTCCTGACCTCAGGTGATCCACCTGCCTCGGCCTCCCAAAGTGCTGGGATTATAGGCGTGAGCCACCTGGCCCGGCCATTAAAATTTTTAGTTTCTAAATTTGGGACCATTATAATTACATTTAAATTGCCACATGAGGATGGAACATGAAACCTGACTTCAGGAGAGCACAATTTAAGGGGAAATGGCAAAAAAAAAAAAAAAAAAAGAAAGAAAAAGAAAAATGAAAATTTGATTCGGTCAGATCCGCAAGTTCTCCTCCATACTTTTTGTTTTTTTAGAAAATAATTCTTTCCTCTGCTGGTGCAGAGTGAGGCTAGCTGGGGGAGCCTGGGCCCCACTGTCCTCCCGGAGGTGGCAGTGGCCGATTTCTGCTCAGGCATGAGGGGCGCCGCCATGTCCTGGGCCTGAGGCTGCCCAGCCCAGCCCCTCCTCACTCCTTTGGACTCTTCCACGGTGTCTCCAGGCCCCTGCACCATCCTGTGTAACTCTCTGATGAAAGGCGAGGTGGCAGCATGAAGATGATGGGGGAACTGCCCCGCATGCCAAGGAAAGCTCGCCCAGCTGCACAAAATGCTCTGGTTGACATCGGGTTTCTGCGCACCAAGCTGCGCCATGACCAAGGGTTAGAGCCGAGGCGTCCACCGGCTGGGCCACCCCGGACGTGGGCGCTCCATCTGCTCCTGCGGTTCCTGCTGTGCTTGGCTAAGCCGTGGCTGGAACCGGCGCCCGCCAGAAGTGCAGGAGCCGCCCTGCCGGCAGAAAGAGGGCATGGTCGCTGAAAACCAGGCCCTGCTGACAAATCTCAGACGCCAGGAACAGAAGAACCACAAAAATGGACGGACCGTTGGAACACCTGAGGGTGAAGTTGTGCGAACTCCTCAAAGTGGAACAGCAAAGCAGCCACCAGAGATGGACTAGAAAGATGAAAAATTAGCAGAAATCAAAGGCAGATGCTAAAGCAGTGCAAAACCGTTCACACAACGATAGAGACGGAATTGATGAAGAAGTTTGAGAAATGAATGACAGAAAGAAAGGACAGCAGTGACCATGGTAAGGTGCTGACGATTCTGGTCCACTGGATCCCATCATCCCTAGGGCAGTAAATCTCATCACAGTCACCACTCAGCAAGTTACCACCGCAGCATTTCCTGTTTGTTCCAAAATGAATAAAAGTGATTCTCATCACAAGGGCAAATACAGAGTAGTTTATTATTATTATTTTTAACTAAACTGTAGCGGTTTAGTTTACTTGTTCTATGTTCTTATAATTTTGAAAATACAGTTGACACTTGCATGACTTATGAAGTTTTTGATAGTCTAATGTCACTTGATGTTCCAAGAACAGTATATTTTAAATTAAGAAGAATAAACTGTATTTGTTTTATATATTTAAGGCTTACAGTCACAAATTTGAAAACTTCAAAGTCTGGTTTTCCATCTATTCATACATAAAACAGTGTAGCGTGCTGAAACATTTGTTTTTTTAAAGTGGCAGCCACAGTTCCTGTCTGTCTGGATATATTTTAAACTTTTGTGTGTTAAGCTTAACATAAGAGACTTCATTTTGTTTTAGGTAACCTAAGATTGTTGTACCCCCCCCCCCAAAAAACTTCACAGATTACTGTAGGGTTCAGCAAACTGTTTATATAATCTAACATTAGTATCTCTATTTTCTAATGTCTAGATTTTTTTTAGAAAAGATTGTTTTGTTTTTATTTTTGTTTTACAAATGTCTCCACAAATTCTGGCTTATTTTATAAAATAACAGAATACTAAAGAAATGGGTGCTTTGCCATACTATGTGGACACTGGCACTCAATGTCCAATGCCCACATTGGATATTTGGATAAAATACCAAATATCCAAATATTTTAATCAAAATTTAGTAAGTTTAAATAATTTGATTTTTTCACTACAGTGATAGACATTCACAAATATTTCATATATTAAAGCTATCAGTGTTAGGTTTTACTTAGTAGTAATATATATATAAGATCAAGAATCTATTTAAAATGGATATCTTTCATCAATAATTTGGTGCTTTCAAATACCCAGAAGTCTTGTTTTAATCATATTAAGTCTGAGAATAATTTACTAATTTCATTTTTGGAATAATGTGTTCAAAATGTTCTAGTTTAACCTAGTGTTGATTGATGATGGGTAAACAAATCAATTTTTTTCAAATCTCATAGGTATATTATGTTATTGAAGATGTTTTCAATTAAAATTCTCCCTTTCAATATTGTTTACAGGAATGTAGGTCTAGTCCAATCTGCTCAACCTGTTAATCAGTGTCAGCTGCCAGATTCCAATTCGTTTTTAGTGTGCCTGTACTTTTCTTTCCATAACCTCTGAATTCATTTCTATTACTTATTTAAATGTTATATAATAAAGCTCATATATTTAAAACAAAACCAGCAGGTAAAATGAGTTCTGGCTTAGAATAAAGAAGCTGTTACCGAGTTACATATACAGATGCATGCAGCTCAACAAAATTTTAGACAAAAAGTATTGGACTGAACTATAACATGTGTTGCTATGACTAAGGCTCTAATGACCTTAAGAATAAAGACAAATTTCAGCAAATTTATCCAGTTGCTTTCAGTACATGTAAAGGTAGTACATCAAGAATTCTCATGCTACTGCCTGAGAAAACAGATTCTACTGTTACCTAATAAATCAAAATCAACTGGATGGCGTTTCTATAACCTTGCACCAGGTAAAGAAAAACTGCAATGGAGGACTAATTAACGCAGACTCCATCATAAGGAAAAGGGTAATCCAGAATGTCACTTTCAATATTTAAGTATTTAAATTTTTAGTTGAAAATGTGGTGAAATAGTGCTTTTGGTAAGCTTTGTGTAGTTGAACATCAGCATTAAGTAGAAAAAAATCTTTAAAAATGTAAACAAACAAAACCATACACCAAAAAAACTAACTTGACCAGTGTGTACATATTGATCTTTGTGTTGGTAGAGTCTAAAGCAGAACATTTGGTGAACTTGATACAATTATTTTGATCACATTGGCATACCAATAAAATCACTTATATTGGGTCAGGTGCGGTGGCTCACACCTGTGATCCCAGCACTTTGGGAGGCCAAGGTTGGGCGGATCATGAGGTCAGGAGTTTGAGACCAGCCTGACCAACATAGTGAAACACCGTCTCTACTAAAAATACAAAGATTAGTTGGGTGTGGTGGTGCACACCTGTAATCCCAGCTACTCAGGAGTGAGGGTGAGGCAGGAGAATCCCTTGAACCCAGGAGGTGGAGGTTGCAGTGAGCCAAGATCCTGCCACTGCACTCCAGCCTGGGTGGCAGAGCGAGACTCCATCTTAAAAAAAAATTATTTATATTCAGTTTGAATAAAACATTTTCACATCTTAAAAATACTGCTTTGTACTTAGTATGAACAATAAATGTAAAGTCTTTATCCTCAAACGGATTCTGATTGTCAACTCAATACATATGGCAACCCATTTCTCTGGTTTATCCAAACTGAAGTCTTGTGAAGGCTCAAATATAGAATGAGAGGGACTCAACAACAGAGCATGAGAAGCAAGAAGGATGGGGTAGGATGATCAGCCCTAAGGCTCAGGGATTCCTGGGGACCCCAATATAATGACATCAACTATGAAGCTTACTAACTGAAAATAAGCATAAGCAGCTGAAAACTCCATGGCTTGCTTTGGTGGGAAGGAGTCTCTGGAATTAGAGTCATGCCAAAAGGATTGAGCCAGAATGACACGTCTCTAAGGATTATTAGGGGGGACTGTTCATAAGCACATAAACATTTGTTCCAAATCTTATTACAGTAGCAATATCCTTTTCTGTAATATCAGCTTCCCCAACGTACGGTTGCCATAGACAAACTAAGACAAGTGCCTAATATGTTGTAGGCAATTAGTTTCTAAATTTAAAAAACTTGCAATAATTTTATGAATTTCATTAAACTCTGTTTCATGTATAAATCTCACTGAAAGGCAGTATCCAGTAGCTATTTTCCTTAGTCCTTTCTGGGATTTTCTGTTGCTTGATTCCAAACCAACCTTAATTTAATCCTAGTCATTTCTAAATCCCCAGATGGAATAACAGAAAGACAGCAGAAATGAACCCAAGTTACCCCAAACAGTCAACATCTAACATATTTTGTTCCCCAAATGAACAAAAAATCACACAAGCTAAAAAACAGTGGGTTTAAAATTTAACCCAAATTTAACAGTAGCAGTTTTACCATATGTAAAAATTAGCAAAGTCATAACTTAGATACCCATAGTCCGTTATTCTAGAAAAAATTAATACAATTATGACTTTTTTAGAAAAGAATAAATATGACAAAATATACCCGCTCATATCTTTGAAATATGAATGATTTTTTCTTTTAATATTTAATACTTAGACAAGTATTATAGCTATCATTCATGAATTAAAGTAGCCTTAGGGGAAATAGTGTTTTATATTAATAATGAAGATTGAAGCTCCAGGGATGTCAAATAATTTCTCTTGGATACACAGCTAGTGACCCAACAAGCTCAAATATGTTTGATTTAAAAATTTTGACTTTTCCACTGTTGACATTGTTGACATAACAGCTAAATCTGAGTCTCAGGGTTGATAATTTAGAATAAATCAAGACAAGTACTATTGAGGCAGGCTAGGTAGTCAAGAAAGTGACGATGTCCTCGGGATGCAGCAACCACAGCAATTGCATGCTGACTGCATATTGTCAACACGATAAGCCCCAGCATTTACACTGTATTTCAGCCATTCAAGCAAAGCTCTCTTCAGTAGGGAAATTCCCCTGTAGAGAACATGCACATTTTGATTTTACTTGTCCTCTAACTGACCTTTTACTCATTATAATAGTAAAAAATAAACACGTGTGTGAAGATTTAAGATGTTAATGAGATATGTGACATATAAGCATGTACAGCCACTGTGTCTGTGCACCAAAAGGACCACCCAGAACATGCTTACTAACACCTCTTCCCGTCTCCTTGTAAATAATTACGTAAGACTCCCATAACTGAGTCTCCCTAGTTCCAGTCTTTGCTGTCTCATTCTTACAGCAGCCTGCCCTGAATTCCTCCTCTCTCAGCGAGTACTGGCTATTCTTTACCTAACTTTTAAAATAGTATTTCTACTTTGCAATAAATCACTCTATGCTGCATCTTCATTGTTTTGTGTCTCTTGTTTAAATTTTTTGAAAGTGAGAAGAATCGAGGTCTCACACAGCCATCAACACTATCATGCTTTGTTTTGTATTCTTTATTATTTCTTTCTCTGATATGTCACCATTCATATTTTAAACCCAGACAACGCTGCTAAATTAAAAATTTAAATAATCACAAAATGATTTGTCATAAAAGCATGTATATGGCTGGGTGCGGTGGCTCACGCCTGTAATCCCAGCACTTTGGGAGGCCAAGGCGGGCAGATCACCTGAGGTCAGGAGTTTGAGACCAGCCTGACCAACATGGAGAAACCCCATCTCTACTAAAAATACAAAATTAGCCAGGTGTAGTGGCGTATGCCTGTAATCCCAGCTACTCAGGAGGCTGAGGCAGGAGAATTGTTTGAACCCAAGAGGCGGAGCTTGTGGCGAGCCTAGATTGTGCCATTGCACTCCAGCCTGGGCAATAAGAGCGAAAGTCCATCTAAAAAAAAAAAAACAGTTAAAATGCCTTTGAAGAGTGAAAATAAAGGATAGATTAAGCAGAGAATTTGACATGGAAAAAGGCTGGTCAATTGTTTGAAAATTACATTGCGGCTGGGTGCAGTGGCTTATGCTTGTAATCCCAGCACTTTGAGAGGTCGAGGCAGGCACATCACCTAAGGTCAGGAGTTGAAGACCAGCCTGGCCAACATGGCAAAACCCTGTCTCTACTAAAAATATAAAATTTAGCTGGGTGTGGTGGTGGGCACCTGTAATCCCAGCTATTCGGGAGGCTGGGTGCGTGGCAGGTGTGTGACACCATGACTAGCTAATTTTTTTTAATTTTATTTTTTGTATTTTCAGTAGAGATGAGTTTCCACCATGTTGGCCAGGCTGGTCTTGAACTCCTGACCTCAAGTGATCCGCCCATCTCAGCCTCCCAAAGTGTTGGGATTATAGGCGTGAGCCACCATGCCCAGCATATTTTTTCCAAATTTTCTAGTTTGCATGCATAGAGGTGTTCATAGTAGTCTCTGACAATTTTTTGCATTTATGTAGGATTAGTTGTGATTTCACATCTCTAATATTTAAATAGATGCAGAGAACAACAGAAAAAAAAAACAGATGCAGAATAAAAGTTTGACAAAAGTTGACATTCCCTTATGATAAATCTCTGAAAAATTTAGGTATAGAACAAATGCACCTCAGCCAATAAATGCCACATATAACCAAAAAAATGCACAGCTAACAACATACTAAACGGGGATATATTGTAAACTTTTACTCTAAAAGCTAAAACAAGACAAGGATGCCCACTCTAATCAGTCTTACTAAACATAGTACTAAATGCCCATGACAAAGAAATTAGAGAATAAAATCAAAGACATCCAGGTTAAGAAGAAATTACATTATCCCTATATAATTATCTTTTATCTCTGTACATAATCTGAAGTATAGAACAGCCGAAGATTTTACTGAAAAATATTAAAATAAACACATTTATTAAACTTTCAGAATACAAAAGCAACATCCAAAAGTCAGTAGCATTTATGTACACTAACAAATATCTCAAAATGAAATTAAAAAATAATTCCATCTACAAAAACTGTAGTAACTATATTTTGAAAAAAACTTAACCAAAAAGTTGAAACACCTTATATTATACTGTAAACAGCATTACATAAATTGAGTAATGCGCAAATGAAATACTACTCATTTATGAATTGCATTAATAAATTTCTATATCACACAAATTGATCTACAGATATAATGCAACCCCTATCAAAATACCAGTGGCATACTGCATAGAAAATTTAATTTATATGGTACCACAAAAGACCCTGAATAGCCAAAGCAATCAAGAAAAAAAAGTAAAGGTATTACCATACCTTCAAAATATTCTACAAGGCAATAGTAACTAAAACAGTATGGTACTTGAATAAAAACAGACACATAGGCCAATGCAGTAGAAAAAAAGAGACCAGAAATATATCCATGTATTTACAGCTAAGTGATTTGGAATAAAGCTGACAATTTCTTTTTTTATTTTTGAGATGGACTCTTGTTCTGTTGCTAGGCTGGAGTGCAGTGGCACGATCTCGGCTCACTGCAACCTCTGCCATCTGGGTTCAGGTGATTCCCCTGCCTCAGCCTCCTGAGTAGCTGGGACTACAGGCGCGTGCCACCACACCTGGCTACTTTTTTGTATTTTATTAGAGATGGGGCTTCACCATGTTGGCCAAGATGGTCTCGATCTCCTGACCTCATGATCCACCCTCCTTAGCCTTCCAAAGGGCTGGGATTACAGGCATGAGCCAAAAGAACAGTAACTTCAATAAATGATGTTGAGAAAACTTTATGTCCACAGGCAGAGAAATAAAATGAGACCCTCATCTCACACCGTATATAAAAACCATTTCAAAATAAATTAGACGCTTAAATGTAAGGCTTGAGATGAGCCTGGTGGCTCACACCTGTAATCCTACCACTTTGGGAGGTGGAGGCAGGCAGATTACCTGAGGTCAGTTGTTCCAGACCAGCCTGGCCAAGGTAGTGGAACCCCATTTCTACTAAATATACAAAATTAGCTCGGTGTGGTTGCAGGCGCCTGTAATCCCAGCTATTCGGGAGGCTGAGGCAGAAGAATCACTTGAACCCGGGAGGTGAAGGTTGCAGTGAGCTGAGATCGTGCACCATTGCACTCCAGCCTGGGCAGCAAGAGTGACACTCCATCTCAAAAGTAATAATAACAAATAAATGTAAGGCCTGAAACTCTGAAACTGCTACAGAAAAATAGAATGAAAGCCCCTTAGACTGTTCTGGGCAGTAAGTTGGTTTTTTGTTTATTTTTTTTTTTGAGACGGAGTCTCACTCGGTCACCCAGCCTGGAGTGCAGTGGCATGATCTCGGCTCATTGCAACCTCTGCCTCCCGAGTTCAAGTGATTCTTCTGCCTCAGCATCCCAAGTAGCTGGGATTACAGGCACCCACCACCACACCCGGCTAATTTTTGTATTTTTAGTAGAGATGGGGTTTCACCATGTTGGCCAGGCTGGTCTTGAACTCCTGACCTCAGGTGATCCACCCACCTCAGCCTCTCAAAGTGCTGGGATTACAGACGTGAACCACCGTGTCTGGTCAGTTTTTTTTTTTTTTTTTATTTAACCTCAAAATCTTAGGAAATAAAAGGAAAAATAGATGAGTCAGATGACTTCATATTAAAAAGCTGCTGCACAGAATCTGATACAATCAACAGGATGAGACAACTAAAAAAATGAAAGAAAATATTCGCAAATTACATGTGACAAGGAGTTAATACCAAAAGTATGTAAGAAACTTTGCTGGGTGCGGTGGCTCACACTTGTAATCCCAGCATTTGGGGAGGCTGAGGTGGGCAGATCACCTGAGGTCAGGAGTTCCAGACCAGCCTGGCCAACATGGTGAAACCCCGTCTCTACTAAAAATACAAAAATTAGCCAGGCGTGGTGGCACGTGACTGTAATCCCAGATACTAGGGAGCCTGAGGCAAGAGAATTGCTTGAACCCAGGAGGTGGAGGTTGTAGTGAGCTGTGATCATACCACTGCACTCCAGCTGGGGCGACAGAGCAAGAGTCAGTCTCAAAGAAAAAAAACTACATATATATGTATATATATATATATAAATAAATATATGTATAATATATATGAAACTCAATTAACTATACAACAAAAACAAGTAACTCTTAAAATGAGCAAAAGGCTTAAATAATTTTCAAGAAAAGACATACTTATGGCCAACAGATATATTTAAATATGCCCAGTGTTAAGTACGATCAGGGAAAGGCAAGCCAAAAACAACTATGAGATATCAATTCACTCCTGTTAGAATGACTCTTATTAAAATGAAAAAGAAAAAAATGTTATGAAAGATGAGAAGGCATTGCGTGGACACTGTTGGTTTGAATGTAAATGAAGACGGCCGTTAGGAAAACAAAATAGAGATTTCTCAAAAAACTTAAAATCAAACTACCATGTAATACAGCTGTTGCACTATTGGGTATATTTCCAAAACAAATGAAATCAGAATGAAGAAACACTTACACTTCTATGTTGTTTGCAGCACTCTTCACAATAGCCAAAATATAGAATCAACAGTTCAGGCTGGGTGTGGTGGCTCACACCTGTAATTCCAGCACTTTGGGAGGACAAGGCAGGCGGATCACTTGGGGTCATAAGTTCGAGACCAGACTGGCCAACATGGCGAAACCCTGTCTCTACTAAAAATATAAAAATTAGCCAGGCATGGTGACGGGCACCTGTAATCCCAGCCACTCTGGAGGCTGAGTTGGGAGAATCACTTAAACCCAGGAGGTGGAGGTTGCAGTGAGCCAGGATTGCTCCACTGCACTCCAGCCAGGGTGACAAGAGTGAGACTTCATAAAAAAAAAAAAAAAAAAAATCAACAGTTCAGCATCTAATGAGTAAAGAAAGACAATGTGGTAGATATATACAGTGGAATACTATTTAAAAAAGAATTTTTTTGAGACCAAGTCTCTGTCTATACAATCTCGGCTCACTGCAACCTCCACATCCCTGGTTCAAGGGATTCTCATGCCTCAGCATCCAGAGTAGCTGAGATTACAGGTGTGCACCACCATGCCCAGTTAATTTTTTGTTGTATTTTTAGTAAAGATGGGGTTTCTTCATGTTGCCCAGGCTGGTTTCAAACTCCTGGGCTCATGCAATGCACCTTGGCCTTCCAGAATGCTGGGATTACAGGTGTGAGCCACCACACCTGGCCTTTAAAAAAAAATTCATTATTTTTAATCACATGGATTAAGCTGGAGAACATTAATTGAGATAAGGTTAATAGTTCATGATTTCACTTACACATGGATTCCAAAAAACATAACCTCATTGATGTAAAATGGTGACCATCAGAGGCCAATGTATTTAGAATGGGCTGGGCACGGTGGCTCACGCCTGTAATCCCCCAGCACTTTGGGAGGCTCATCACGAGGTCAGGAGGAGACCATCCTGGCCAATATAGTGAAATCCCGTCTTTACTAAAAACACAAAAATTAGCTGAGTGTGGTGGCACATGCCTGTAATCCCAGCTACTTGGGAGGCTGAGGCAGGAGAATCACTTGAACTGGGGAGGCAGAGATTGCAGTGAGCCAAGATTGTGTCACTACACTCCAGCTGGTGACAGAGTGAGACTGTCTCAAAAAAGAAAAAGAAAAAAGAGGGTTGGAATGATATCTGTCAAATAATACATAGAGTTGAATAGAAGAAATAAGTTCAAGAGATTTTTTTGTACAGCATGGTGACTATAGCTCATGTTTTTGTATTTTTGAAAAGTGGTAAGACAATGTCATGTGGTCTCACCACAAAAACGTTAACTATGTGAAGTATTAGTTACCTAGAACTAATCACCTGACAATGTATATACACTTCAAAATATTATGTTCTACAGAAAAAGTACACATTTTATCTGTCAAGTTAAGTTTTTAAAGCTTTATAGAAGGATAACAATGTGTCAAATACTGTCCATGTTTTTGTCATAATCTTGGTTGAATAGTATCAAAATATATAGTTTTTGTTTTTGGTTGAATAGTATCAAGATATATAGTTTTTGTGTTTTTATCATTTAATTTGTCAGTCATAACCGTAGGAACTCCGATATTTAACAGTATGTTCTGGACCCAGCACATTGCATGGAAGAAGCTTATGTCCTTTAGGATTTTTACTTTAAGCTCCGGGCACCTGGAGTTTCTGGTGCTGATGGTAATGGTATGAAAGACACTCAAAGAGCAGGTGTTGCTTATGGTCCCATGACTGGCCACTCTGTGAACACAGTAAACTAGTTTGCATGCAAAGTAACAGAAAATGTTTTAATCCAAATGCTGTCATGATGCCCAAAATTTATCCAGAAAAAATGACTAAGGAGTTGCCTGCATTTCAGGGACAGAAAATAAAAACTGTAGACTAAACTTCACCCACTTAAAAAATTATATGAGAAATTCCTCCAAATTGTAATATCAATATGGAAAAGCAATATTCTTTTAAGTTTCAAATTCACAGAGCTCATTATTTTGTAGCCTTTAGCATTCACTTAAAAATTATATGTGTTATCCTCCCGTCTCCCTCTCCCTCTCCCGTCTCCCTCTCCCTCTCCCGTCTCCCTCTCCCTCTCCCGTCTCCCTCTCCCTCTCCCGTCTCCCTCTCCCTCTCCCGTCTCCCTCTCCCTCTCCCGTCTCCCTCTCCCTCTCATGCCGAGCCAAAGCTGGACGGTACTGCTGCCATCTCGGCTCACTGCAACCTCCCTGCCTGATTCTCCTGCCTCAGCCTGCCGAGTGCCTGCGATTGCAGGCGCGCGCCGCCACGCCTGACTGGTTTTCGTTTTTTTTTGGTGGAGATGGGGTTTCGCTGTGTTGGCCGGGCTGGTCTCCAGCTCCTAACCGCGAGTGATCCGCCAGCCTCGGCCTCCCGAGGTGCCGGGATTGCAGATGGAGTCTCGTTCACTCAGTGCTCAATGGTGCCCAGGCTGGAGTGCAGTGGCGTGATCTCGGCTCGCTACAACCACCTCCCAGCCGCCTGCCTTGGCCTCCCAAAGAGCCGAGATTGCAGCCTCTGCCCGGCCGCCACCCCGTCTGGGAAGTGAGGAGCGTCTCTGCTTGGCCACCCATCGTCTGGGATATGAGGAGCCCCTCTGCCTGGCTGCCCAGTGTGGAAAGTGAGGAGCGTCTCTGCCCGGCCGCCATCCCATCTAGGAAGCGAGAAGCGCCTCTTCCCCGCCGCCATCCCATCTAGGAAGTGAGGAGCGTCTCTGCCCGGCCGCCCATCGTCTGAGATGTGGGGAGCACCTCTGCCCCACCGCCCTGTCTGGGATGTGAGGAGCGCCTCTGCTGGGCCGCAACCCTGTCTGGGAGGTGAGGAGTGTCTCTGCCCGGCCGCTCCGTCTGAGAAGTGAGGAAACCCTCTGCCTGGCAACCGCCCCGTCTGAGAAGTGAGGAGCCCCTCCGTCTGGCAACCACCCCGTCTGGGAAGTGAGGAGCGTCTCCGCCCGGCAGCCACCCCGTCCGGGAGGGAGGTGGGGGGGGTCAGCCCCCCGCCCGGCCAGCCGCCCCGTCCGGGAGGTGAGGGGCTCCTCTGCCCGGCCGCCCCTACTGGGAAGTGAGGAGCCCCTCTGCCCGGCCAGTCGCCCCGTCCGGGAGGGAGGCGGGGGGGGGGGGGTCGGCCAGCCGCCCCGGCCGGGAGGTGAGGGGCTCCTCTGCCCGGCCGCCCCTACTGGGAAGTGAGGAGCCCCTCTGCCCGGCCAGTCGCCCCGTCCAGGAGGGAGGTGGGGGGGTCAACCCCCCGCCCGGCCAGCCGCCCAGTCCGGGAGGGAGGTGGAGGGTCAGCCCCCCGCCTGGCCAGCCGCCCCGTCCGGGAGGTGAGGGGCGCCTCTGCCCGGCCGCCCCTACTGGGAAGTGAGGAGCCCCTCTGCCCGGCCAGCCGCCCCGCCCAGGAGGGAGGTGGGGGGGTCAGCCCCCCGCCTGGCCAGCCGCCCCATCCGGGAGGGAGGTGGGGGGGTCAGCCCCCCACCCGGCCAGCCGCCCCGTCCAGGAGGGGGGAGGGGGGGTCAGCCCCCCGCCCGGCCAGCCGCCCCGTCCGGGAGGGAGGTGGGGGGGGTCAGCCCCCCGCCCGGCCAGCCGCCCCGTCCGGGAGGGAGGTGGGGGGATCAGCCCCCTGCCTGGCCAGCCGCCCCGTCCGGGAGGTGAGGGGCGCCTCTGCCCGGCCGCCCCTACTGGGAAGTGAGGACCCCTCTGCCCGGCCAGCCGCCCCGTCCGGGAGGGAGGTGGGGGGAACAGCCCCCCCCCCGGCCAGCCGCCCTATCCAGGAGGTGAGGGGCGCCTCTGCCTGGCCGCCCCTACTGGGAAGTGAGGAGCCCCTCTGCCTGGCCAGCCGCCCCGTCCGGGAGGGCGGTGGGGGGGTCAGCCCCCCGCCCGGCCAGCCGCCCCATCTGGGAGGTGAGGGGCACTTCTGCCGGGCCGCCCCTACTGGGAAGTGAGGAGCCCCTCTGCCCGGCCACGACCCCGTCTGGGAGGTGTGCCCAGCGGCTCATTGGGGATGGGCCATGATGACAATGGCGGTTTTGTGGAATAGAAAGGCGGGAAGGGTGGGGAAAAAATTGAGAAATCGGATGGTTGCCGGGTCTGTGTGGATAGAAGTAGACATGGGAGACATTTTGTTCTGTACTAAGAAAAATTCTTCTGCCTTGGGATCCTGTTGATCTGTGACCTTATCCCCAACCCTGTGCTCTCTGAAACATGTGCTGTGTCCACTCAGGGTTAAATGGATTAAGGGCGGTGCAAGATGTGCTTTGTTAAACAGATGCTTGAAGGCAGCATGCTCGTTAAGAGTCATCACCACTCCCTAATCTTAAGTACCCAGGGACACAAACACTGCGGAAGGCCGCAGGGTCCTCTGCCTAGGAAAACCAGAGACCTTTGTTCACTTGTTTATCTGCTGACCTTCCCTCCACTATTGTCCTATGACCCTGCCAAATCCCCCTCTGCGAGAAACACCCAAGAATGATCAATAAAAATAAAAAAAAAAAAAAAAAAAAAAAATTATTATTAAATGTGAGAAAAAAAAAAATTATGTTATACTTTTATTATATAAGTATATATTTTAATAAAAGTATGTTACATAATAAAAAATAAATTTAAAATTGTTCACTTACCATTAACTCTTAAAAATTTAATTTCTACATTTTCTTGCAAATTTTATGTTTGCCACACTTTAAGAATCTAATTTTTTTTTTAACAAAGAACAACTATTCTGATTTAATCTTCTCACCTGTGGACAATGTATGCTTTTATCTTAACTAATCCGAAAGTTATATTGATAACCAAACTCTCCAGTTAAAAACAATTATTCAGTGCATTAAAAAATACCAACTTTCAGCTGGGTGCAGTGGCTTATGCCTGTAATCCAAGCACTTTGGGAGGCTGAGGCAGGTGGATCATATGAGGTCAGGAGTTTGAAACCAGCCTGGCCAACATGGTGAAACTTCGTCTCTACAAAAAATTAAAAAAAAAAAAATTCAGCCAGATGTGGTGGCAGGTGCCTGTAATCCCAGCTACTTGGGAGGCTGAGGCAGGATAATTGCTTGAACCTGGAAGGCAGAGGTTGCAGTGAGCCCACATTGCACCACTGCACTCCAGCTTGGGCAACAAGAGTGAGACTCTGTCTCAAAAAAAAAAAAAAAAAAAAAAACAACCAACTTTCTCGTCAAAATTTACAAAGTACCATGTGAAATGAAATGGCATTAAGACAACAGTGAGAAAACTGAAGCCATAACACAGAAAAAGGAGATGGGCTGTGCTGCATACATAGCTGGGGATACACATAATAAATACAGAGAAATCTGAAGATAATTAAGAAATAAAAGATGCAGAACTTCTCTTTAAATTCAGCAAGATTCAGCATTGCAGCCTGGAAACTATGTCCTCTCCACATGAAGAATCAATTTTATTTCTTCACCACTGATGTTTTCCATCTCTGAACTGAAGTTACAAGCTAACTTTAGCAGGAATACTTATGGCTTACTATGGAGCATCTGTTACACAGCAAGAACTGTCATGTATGTTTGCTACATTTAAATATAAAAACATCCTCACGACTTATAAAGCTTCCCTAGTACTTACCTGAACAAATTGACTCAATAAATAAATTTACTTATGTCAACTATAAAAAGTGAAAAGAAAAATAACTAAAGGGCTATAGAGTTCTCCAACTAAAAACAAAATGAAGTGTTCTAACTAAATAAAATGTAACTTAATACACTAATTGTGGAATTACATTTAAAAATTTTGTATGCACTAAATTTTGTAAAAATTATTCTTATAATCACAGACCAGCTCACATAATGAATACTTCATAATCTGTAAAATATTTATATGAAAAAAGATACAAAATAATTAGGGGTCTATCATGAGTACCAGGCAAGTATAAACAGAATTTTCATGGGGAGATTCAGAACTATAAGCCACAGAATGTACAGTAATAAATTCAATACAAAGCAGAGAATACATTTTCTTTTAGCATTTTTGAGGCTTTTAGTTTTCTAGTAGTCATCTTGTTAAAATGATTTGTTTTGTTCAGTATTGCTTTTTTCTTCGGAAAACAGGTACAAATTCATACACACAAACTCACTCTATAATTTTCTTACACTTAAGGTTTATCTTTAGACTAACATATATTTAACTATATGTAAATCAAAACTAAATGTCTGCATGTGTTTGCAGGCAGACAGGAAACATGCTCAAAAAATAAATATTAGAAAACTTTAAAAATACTTATTCAGGCCTCAGAAATGTAGGGATTTTATTATACTTCTACATAACTTTTATTATGACCATAAAAATAACACTGTAATCAATAACAATTTAATTTTACATTTTAAAATAACTAAAAGTATAAAACTGGGTTGCTTGTAATACAAAGGATAAATACTAGAGGTGATGGATACCTCATTTACCCTGATGTGATTATTATATACTGTATTCTTGTATCAAAATATGCCATATATTGCATGAATATATACTCATATTATGTACCCCAAATAATTAAGAAAAATAAATTTAAATAAAATAAACATTTGGCTGGGCACGGTGGCTCATGCCTGTAATCCCAGAACTTTGGGAAGCCGAGGCAGGCAAATCATTTAAGGTCAGGAGTTCGAGACCAGCTTGACTTACATTATGAAACCCTGTCTCTACTAAAATACAAAAATTAGCTGGGCATGGTGGTGGGTGCCTGTAATCCCAGCTACTTAGGAGGCTGAGGCAGGAGAATTGCGTGAACCCAGGAGGTGGAGGTTACAGTGAGCCGAGATCGTGCCACTGCACTCCAGCCTGGGTGACAGAGCAAGACTACCTCTCAAAAATAAAATAAAATAAAAACAAAAATTTAACCTACAGAAATAATATTCTTTAACTTATTTGCAGTCAAAGCCACTAGCAAAAGAGATTACTAGAGATGTTAATCCATTATGTTACCAAATAGTATACTGTTACCATGTTTTACGTACACCCTTGAGTAAGGTGGAATAGGTTAATGTCTGTGGCATAATAACACTTCACTGAATGCACAATAGTATTTAACATGTTAAAAAGGTTGAATATATTAACATCACATATAATCTGAAATTTAAAAAATATACTGCATTTTATATAAAAGTATTAGTAAAATATACTAATTTTAATTTACTTATAAATGAAATTAAGTTTTCTCATAATGCAGAATATTACTCTGAATGCCTAACGCACACATTGCTTAATATTATAAGTTAACCATAAAAGTCTCTTCACTTAGATTTTCATCATACATCTCATATTTTAATGTCTTTTTCATAGCAAAGTTTATAAATAATGCTCACCTAATAAAAAAGAATCTCTCATATCTGATGCAGCAACAATTGATCACATGCTTTCACATGTAAATAGGAGTGAAGAAAAGGCAGGAAATAATTTAAGAGTTGAATTACATTATTACTCACTTTTCAAAAAATCTAATTTTTTCAAAAAGTTAAGCATACTTTGAATGCAATAACTGCAAAAAATTTCTACTTTTAAAGTTATATACAAATATTTTACCAATTTTAGTTTTAGATTATTTTCTATACTCAGCACTCTGATTTAGTAAAATACCTGAAGCATCAGTGCCTTACATATTTCTACTGTAAATTCTCTGATATTTACAGACTTAATGATTAAAATTTTTAAAAAATTTTTCCTGTATCTGCAAAAATATGTTTTAGTATGAACTCTCTGGTGTTTTCTAAGCTGTAGTTTTTGAAAAAGTATTTTTCCAACTTTATTACATTCGCACAGTTTTTTTCAATATAAATTCCCTGATATTGAACAAAGTTTGAGCAACTGCTTCAGAGGTTTCCTCTAATACAAAACGTGTACAGTAAGATCTGTGATACAAGTAAACATATTACAATTCTACTACAATGTTCTTCTTCAAAATACTCTTCACTTTAAAAGCTTATATTTTCTTAAAGATATTTTGACAGTAGTTGCACTTATGTTTTTATTGAGTATGAACTCTCTGATGTTGAGTAAGATGTGAGCATGTATTAATGGCTTTTTCACAGTCTTTATATTTGTACAATATTTCTCAAGTATAAATGCTTTCCTGTGAAGGTGTGAGCATTAGTTAAAAGTTTTGTCACACTGTTCACACATGTAGAAGTTTTCTCCAGTATAACTTACCTTACCTACAATCAAGTGTGACAACCATTTAAAACTTTATCACATTCTTCACATTTCTAGGATTTCTCAACACTATGATTTATGTTTTGAAAAGTTTGAGGTGTTTTCAAAGCACTGTCACATCTTTCTGGTTTGTAGAATTTCTCTCTAGTATGAATTATCTTATGTCTGTTAGGAATTGAGAATTTATTAAAGGCTTTGCCATATTCTTCACAGTCACAGGAGTTCCCTCCAGTATGAATTTTTTTATGTTTAGTAAGAGTTGAGGACTGGTAAAAGGCTTTGCCACATTTTTCACATTTGTAGGGTTTCTCTCCAGTATGAGTTATTTTGTTTAATAAGGCTTAGGGACTGGTTAAAGTCTTTACCACATTCTTCCCATTTGTAAGATTTCTCTCCAGTATGAGTTATCTTATGTTTAGTAAGGGTTGAGGATCGGTTAAAAGCTTTGCCACATTCCTCACATTTGTAGGGTTTCTCTCCAGTATGAATCATCTTATGTGCAGTTAGTTGTGAGGACCGGTTAAAGGCTTTGCCACATTCGTCACATTTGTAGGGTTTCTCTCCAGTATGAATCATCTTATGGGTAGTAAGGTTTGAGGACTCATTAAAAGCTTTGCCACATTCTTCACATTTGTAGGGTTTCTCTCCAGTATGAATTCTCTTATGTTTAGTGAGGGCTGAGGACCAGTTAAAGCCTTTGCCGCATTCTTCACATTTGTAGAATTTCTCTCCAGTATGACTTGTCTTATGTTTAGTAAGGTATGAGAATCGGTAAAAAGCTTTGCCACATTCTTCACATTTGTAAGGTTTCTCTCCAGCATGAGTTATCTTATGTGTAGTAAGGGTTGAGGACTGGTTAAAGGCTTTGCCACATTCTTCACATTTGTAGGGTTTCTCTCCAGTATGAATTATCCTGTGTGTAGTAAGGTGTGAGGACCGGTTAAAAGCTTTGCCACATTCTGTACATTTGTAGGGTTTCACTCCAGTATGAATTCTTTTATGTGTAGTAAGGTGTGAAGACCGGTTAAAAGCTTTCCCACATTCTTCACATCTGTATGGTTTCTCTCCAGTATGAATTATCTTATGTGTAGTAAGGTGTGAGGACCGGTTAAATGCTTTCCCACATTCTTCACATTTGTAGGGTTTCTCTCCAGTATGAATTCTCCTGTGTGTAGTAAGGGTTGAGAACCAGTTGAAGGCTTTGCCACAATCTTTACATTGGTAGGAATTCTCTGTAATATGAAATCTTTTATGTTGAGTTAGGTGTAAAAGCATGCAAAATGATTTTTCACATTTTTTACATTTGAAAGGTTTCTTTCTAGTATGTCTTATCTTATGTCTGTTTGAATTTGAAAATGTATGAAAGACTTTTGCAGATGGATCACATTGAAATATGTTGCTCTGGGTAGTTATCAAACACTGGTTTAATTTGTTATCATGTTCTTTGTGCACTTTACACTCATCCACACTTTTACAGCCTTTTTGTAACTGTAAATTGTCATGTCCATATTTTCCATATTTTTTCAGAATCGCTTCTTGAAAAGAATCTTTAATGTCCTGCTCTGCCCAAAGGTCTTGGGGAAAATGAGAACATATAACTGAAAGAAATAAAAATAACAAATTACTTTACTTACTAGACACAGATAGTTTACAAATCTAACCTCTAATATACAAACTACATAAATAAGATGGCATAGGAAAATACCAAAGGCCCTCATTCCTTTATAGACATATAAATGTAAAAAAAAAAAAACCAACCAAATTACATCTGAAAAAAATTATAAATGAGTTAAGTGTGTGAAGTGCCCCTGGTGAGAACAATGCAAAGAGCCACTTAGAAGTAAAAGTCTGTACATTTACCCAACAGAGCTCTTTCTGCTCCCCAATATAACATACTGTCTTTAGAAGTAAATTGCCAACTTGTTTTTAATGACAAGTAAAATACTGGCACATTTATCTTTATTACTTGCTTCTAGGAGCCTTTCCAGACACTGGTTTGTGTCTCTCTTGAAATATAATGCTGAAAGAAACGGTGGTATACTTTGGAGTGACAGTCTTAACTTTGCTGAGACCAAAGGTAAATGTTTCAGCAACAGAGAGACTGCTGTACCACAGACAGAAAACAGGTGTAGCACGTGATTATTATTAAGAAGAAACATGAATAAACTCCTTTAACTAAAAGAGAAAGACAAAATCTCAGACAAGACACATTCTAAGAACATGTTTGAGAGACTCCCAGAATCTCTAACCAAGACGATTGTTCAGACTATGCCAGGACAAAGCTACATTATAAAGATTGTGACAGGTAGCCTTTTTTAATGTCCAAATTTCAATCAAGGATTACAATGTATACAAAATAAGGCAATATGGTTCCATAAAAATATAAAATTTTAAAAAAGAAACTATAAAAAAGATGTATACACACCGATTTTAAAAATTGAAAATAAATTGAATAATACTCAGTGAGTGAAACAGGAAGACAGAGAACTATAGAAAATCAGAAAAATGAAGATAAGAACATAAATATTTAGAATATCAAAAAAACAAATTGTGGAGGTAATAAATATAAAAAAGAATAGCTGAAAAATATTGAAAGAAACGATGTAAAGATGAAGAAGCTCAACAAACAAACTAGGAAACACACAAAGATATTTATAACAAACACATATATAAGCACAATTTCAAAAGTCACAGACAAGAGAACCTTGGGAGCTGCAAGATAAAAGTGATGCGTCATTTGCCAGCATAGTCTTATGAGACAGCCAGTGAATTGTCAATAAAAATTTTGCAGGCCAGAAGGGAAGTGTGTAATAAAGTCAAACTCCTGTAAAATACAGCAATCAAGTAAGCATAATACTATCAGCAAATCTGTCCTGCCAAATAAAAAGAAAATAACTTTCAAAAGTAACAAAATTCTGAAAAGTATATTGGAACTCCATAAACCCTACATACAAAATGTACTGAAAGCAGTTGCTTCTATTGAAAATAACATGATTCAACAAAAACAACACAGTCAAATAAAAATACATTACTTTCGGGAGGGGGGAGGGATAGCATTAGGAGAAATACCTAATGTAAACGACGAGTTAATGGGTGCAGCACACCAACATGGCACATGTATACATATGTAACAAACCTGTACATTGTGCACATGTACCCTAGAACTTAAAGTATAATAATGAAAGAAAAAATAAAAACAAAACAAAACAAAAACAAAAAACAACAAAAAAATACATTACTTTCTGGGAAAGATTATATGCACATATATACTTTTACTTCTAAGTATATGCACATACACCAAAATGGAATTCCTTAGCATTATCATAATGGTGCAGAAAACATTTTTAATTATTCTCTAAAATTTGAAAGTGAAAATCAGAGAAATCATTATAAACATCTGTTAATAAATATACAACATAAAAAGATATAATTAGCAAAATCAATGACAAATTTGAGGGGAGAAGTAATGAGAAAAAAAATGTGCATGCAACTGAAGTTCTTTTTTACCAGATTGAAATATACTGTTATATCTTTTAGAGGTTTACGTAATCCCCAAGGTCCAAAAAAGAACATGTGTGTATAGATACACAAAACAAGAAAGAAGTAAAAGCATATCAATATAAAAATAAAAAGATACAAAGACAGAGAGAAAATGAGTGACCAAGATATAAGAATCAAATAAAACAATTAATAAAATAACATTAGTATGTCTTTCTGTTTCAGAAAATTATTTAAATATATATGTTTAACTTTCCAATCAAGAGACATACTTTCAATAGAGACTTATTTAAATATTTTAAAAACTGAGATCCAACTTGCCTTTCTACGACAGTAAGCTGAGATCTATTGATTAAAAAAAAACTGAAAGTGGCAAGATGGATGTAGATATTGCATGTAAATATTAACCAAATGAGAGAAGAGGTCAAAATAATATTACATAAGCTACATCTTACGTGAAAAACTTTCATATTTTATAAAATGTACTGCAAGTCAAAACTGCAAAGAGACAAAGAAGGGCATTAAACAATAATAGATTCATTTACTGATAACCTAAGTGTGTGTGTGTGTGTGTGTGTGTGTGTGTGTGTATCTCACATTAAGGTTCCAAATACATAAAGCAAATATTGATAGAACTGAAGAAACATCTAGACAGCAATACTATAGTAGGACATTTCAATAACTTACTTTCTGTAATAAAAATAAATCAAAACAGAATATTTGTAAGTGAAGAGAGGACGTGAAGGCAGTATAAAACAATTATTTCTAACAGAGGTATAGAGAAGATTCCTCAACAATATCGGGATACACATGCTTCTCAATTGCTCATACAACATTCTCCTTAATAGACCACATGTTAGGCCAAAAAAGAAGTCTTAACACATTTGTTAAGACTGAGATTGTATGGATTATATTACATGAACAAAATGGGAGTATAAAACAATAATAGAAAAACAATTAAACATTTACAAATATATGGAAATTAACACACTCTTGAGCATGCTCCTGTTCAAAGATAGAAATAATAGATATTTTGAAAATGTCCATACTTTTCAAAGTAATCTACAGATTTAGTGCAATGTTGTTAAAAATTTCTCATTGCATTTTTGAGAAACTAGAAACAACAACCCCAAAAGTATATAAAATGTCAAGAGACAATAAAGTACCCAAGAGTCTTCAAAAAAAAGAAAATGTTGAAGGCATTATAGTTCCTGATTTAAAAGCACATTGCAAAGCTACATAATTAAAACAAGTTGGTATGAGTATAATGGTTAAAAAGTAGACTAATAAAATAGAATGCCACATCTATAGAAACTTTCACATATATGTTTATATGAAGAGTTATTTTCATATCCATAATTATTGCAGCATTTTTTACCAATAGCAATGCAAGTTTCTTTCCTTTTTCTTTCCTTTTTTTTTTATTTTTTATTTTTTGAGATGGAGTCTTGCACTGTTGCCCAGGCTGGAGTGCAGTGGCATGATCTTGGCTCACTGCAACCTCCGCCTCCTGGGTTCAAGTGATTCTCCTGCCTCAGCCTCCTGAGTAGCTGGGACTACAGGTGTGTGCCACCATGCCTGGCTAATTTTTGTATTTTTAGCAGAGACAGCATTTCACCATGTTGGCCAGGATGGTCTCGATCTCTTGACCTTGATATCCGCCTGCCTCAGCCTCTCAAAGTGCTGGGATTACAGGCATGAGCCACCGTGCCCGGCAATGCAACTTTCTGTCACCAAATTATCCAATAGATATAATTTGCAATATAAAAATACTGGAATATCATCCAGGATTTAAAAAGCAGGAAATATTCTAATAACTCTAAAAATAAAGCTTGATGACATTATGCAAAATAAAATGAGCTAGCCACAATGAGACAGAGATTGTATGAGACACATGAAGCAGTCACATTCTTAGAAATAGAAAACAAAGTGGTGTTTGCAAAGTGCCAGAACATCAGACAAATTGGTTGTTGTACATTGAGATTTAGCTTTGCAAGATAAAACATTCTAGGGGTATGCTGCATAACATTATCAATATAATTAAGAGGAATAAACAGAATATTAAAAAATATTTGATAATGGGCCTGGTGCCGGGACTCACATCTGTAATCCCAGCACTTTGGGAGGCCAAGGTGGGCGGATCACAAGGTCAGGAGTTCGAGACCAGCCTGGCCAACACAGTGAGGCAAAAGAATCACTTGAACCCAGGAGGCGGAGGTTGCAGCGAGCCAAGATCCCGCCACTACACCCCAGTCTTGGCGACAGAGCGAGACTCCGTCTCAAAAAAAAAAAATTGCTAATATTTTATGTGTTCAAGTAAAAATGAACAATTAATACCAAGAAAGATACAGTTACAATAGTTTCAATATTATCTTCAAATCCCAAAGTGTTTCTCCCACATAGAAGTAATGTAGATTCACAACAGATATTGAAATTAGGAGAATTTTTATAACTGGTCACCTAGCCAAGATTGAACGACCATTTACAACAAACCTACACAACAAATATACAAGTCATAAAATAAACAGAGATGATATTTGTAGAGGCAAACAAACACAGAGGTAATTATATTGGCAGTAGACATATGGCTGATTTATATTTGATTTGGCTAGACACAGTCTTAAATTGTACAGAGTTAAACACTGTCATACACAATGGCAATATAAAATAAAACACCAAAACACAAGCAACTGGTGTTAGGTGTCATACCTTAAAATACATAACACAATATAAAATATATATATATATAATATATGTAAAATATATAACACAAAATTAAAATATGGAATGTAAAACGTATTGGATGCCATCAAGTAGATCAATATATTCATCAAATGAATCTTAGAAGAATATAGGGAAAAAGTAATACAGAGGTAACTTGAAGACAAAAAAGGCTGAGAACTTCCCAAATTTTTATGTAACAAAAAAATTTCTAACCAATATTTAATTCAAAATTATTTTACTTCAAAAACAAGATAAAAATAAGGACTTTCCAAAATAAAAATTCAGGGCATTTATTACAACTACCACAGTCCTACATAAAATGTTACATGGTGGCCAGGCACAGTGGCTCAGGCCTGTAATTCTACAGCTTTAGGAAGCCAAGGCAGATAGATCACTTGAGACCAGTAGTTCAAGATCAGCCAGAGAAACATAGTGAAACTCTGCATATAAACAAAAAGAAATGCTAAAATGAGTCCATTATGTTGAAGAACAAAATGATGCCAGAAGTATCAAAAAAATGTATAAATATAAAACTCTCTATTAAATGTAAATACAGACACATATAGAATTTTTTTACTATCATAATGATGCACATAAAACCCTTACAGTTCTTTAGATATAAAAAACAAGATATAAATCTGCATAAATCTGTTAATAGATACACAATGTAAGATAATATGGTTTTTAATATTAATAACAAATTGGAAAATATAACAACAGAGGTTTTGTACTTAATTGAAGGTGTGATGAGATTAAAATACATTGTTTTAACTTTAAGATGTTTTATGTAATCTGTTTTTCAATATGGTTACATTATATTTCAAGATGATTACATTATACTTCTGGAAAGTATGCAAAACAAAATAAAAAATAATCAAAGCAAGTCACAACAAAATTAAAACAAACAAAAATTAAGGTAGTAACACAGGAAATGAGAAAAGACATATCTACAAGAAACACATAAAATAGTAACAATGAGGTGATTTCTGCAGATCAGCAGACTTAGTCTTTCCCCCTGCTGGCTGAGGAATCTGGGCAGTCCAGATGTATGGAATTTCTCCCAGTGAAGCACACCCCCTTCACCAAGAAGCAGCCAGAGTGCCTTGTTAAATGGTTCCTGAATCCTGTGCATCCTGACTGAGTGAGGACCACCCCACCAACAGGCATTGTAAGACAACTTATAAAGAAGTATTCCCACTGTCATCAGCTCAGTGCCCATCTGGGATAAAGCTTACAGATGAAGGAGCAGGCAGTTCTCTCTGCTGTTCTACACACTCCACTGGTGACACCTCCAGGTGTGGGAGAAACCCAGGCAAATAGGATCTGAAGTGGATCCCAAGCAAATCACAGCGGCCCTACAGAAGACGGGCCTGACTGTTAAAGGAAAAACAGAAAGCAACCACAGCAGCATCAACAAAAATGTCCCCACAAAAACCCCATCCAAAGGTCAGCAGCCTCAAAGACCAAAGCTAGATAAACTCATGACGATCAGAAGAATCAACCAAAAAATGCTGAAAACTCAAAAACCCAGAGTGTCTCTACTCCTCCAAATAATCAAAACATATTTCCAGCAAGAGCACAGAACCGGGAGAAGCCTGAGATGGATAAACTGACAGAAGTAGGCTTCAGAAGGTGGGTAATAATGAACTTCAGTGAGCTAATGAAGCATGTTCTAACCCAATGCAAAAAAGCCAGGAACCATGAAAAACATTACAGGAGCTGTTAACCCGAATAACCAGTTTAGAGAGGAACATAAACGACCTGATGCAACTGAAAAACAACATGAGAACCTCACAATGCAACCACAAGTATCAGTAACTGAGTAGACCAAGCAGGAAAAAGAATTTCAGAGCTTGAAGACTATCTTGCTAAAATAAGGCAGATAAGATTGAAAAAATAAAAATAAAAAGGAATGAAAAAAATCTTCAAGAACTATTGGATTATGTAAACAGACCAAACTTACAACTGATTGCAGTACACTAAAGAGAGGGAAAGAATGGAACCAAGTTGGAAAACATACTTCAGGATATCATCGAGAAAAACTTTTCCAACCTAACAAGACAGGCCATCATTCAAATTCAGAAAATCCAGAGGACCCCAGTAAGATACTCCATGAGAAGATCAACCTCAAGACACATAATTATCAGATTATTCAAGTTTAAACTTCAGGAAAAAATGATAAGGACAGCCAACCGGAAGGCCAGGTCACCCAGAAAGGGAAGCCCATCAGAGTAAAAGTGGACCTCTAAAAAGATACCCTACAAGCCAGAAGACATTGGGGGCCAATATTCAGCATTCTTAAAAAAAATGAATTTCTAACCCAGAATATCCTGCAACTAAGCTTCATAGTGAAGGAGAAATGAAATCATTTTCAGACAAACAAATGCTGAGGGAATTCATCACCACTAGGCCTGCTTTGCAAGAGCTCCTGAAAGAAGCACTAAATATGAAAAGAAGAAACCACTACCAGCAAATGCAAAACACATTGAAGTACAAAGACCAATGACACTACAAAACAACTACGTCAACAGGTCTGCAAAATAACCAGCTAGCACCATGAGAACAGGATCAAATTCACACATAACAATATTAACCTTAAATTTAAATGGACTGAATGCTCCAATTAATACCAGAACTTTTGGAGGCCGAGGTGGGTGGATCATGAGGTCAGGAGATCGAGACCATCTTAGCTAACACGGTGAAACCCCGTCTCTACTAAAAATACAAAAAATTAGCAGGGCGTGGTGGTGGGTGCCTGTAGTCCCAGCTACTCGGGAGGCTGAGGCAGGAGAATGGCATGAACCCCGGAGGCGGAGCTGGAAGTGAGCCAAGATTGTGCCACTGCACTCCAGACTCCAGCCTGGGCGACCGTGTAAGACTCTGTCTCAAAAAAAAAAAAAAAAAAAAAGGCACAGAATGGCAAGCTGGTTAAAGAGTCAACTCACTGGTGTGCTGTATTCAAGAGACCCATCTCACATGCAACGACACACATAGCCTCAAAATAAAGGGAGAAGAATTTACCAAGCAAATAAAATCAGAAAAAAAGCAGAGGTTGCAATCATAGTTTCTGATAAAACAGACTTTAAACCAACAAAGATCAAAAAAGACAAGGAAGGACACTACATAATGCTAAAGGGATCAATTCAAGGAACACCCAGATTTGTTTTTATTGCTCGCTTGATTGATTTTTTTTGAGACGGAGTCTTACTCTGTCACCCAGGCTGGAGTACAGTGGCATGATCTTGGCTCACTGCAAGCTCTGCCTCCCGGGTTCACACCATTCTCCTGCCTCAGCCTCCTGAGCAGCTGGGACTACAGGTGCCCGCCACCACATTCGGCTAGTATTTTGTATTTTTAGTAGAGACGGGGTTTCACCTTGTTAGCCAGGATGGTCTCGATCTCCCGACCTCATGATCTGTCAGCCTCAGCCTCCAAAAGTGCTGGCATTACAGGCGTGAGCCACCATGCCCGGCCTTATTGATTTATTTTTTTGAGATGGAATCTCACTCTGTTGCCCATGCTAGAGTGCAATGGCGCGATCTTGGCTCACTGCAACCTTCACTTCGCAGGTTCAAGTGATTCTCCTGCCTCAGCTTCCTGAGTAGGTGGGATTACAGGCACCAACCACTATGCCCAGCTAATTTTTGTATTTTTAATAGAGACAGAGTTTCACCATGTCTAGGCTGGTCTCAAACTCCTGACCTCAGGGGATCTGCCTGCCTTGGCCTCCCAAAATGCTGGCATTACAGGCATGAGCCACACATCCAGCCAGCACTCAGATTTATAAAACATACTTAGATACCTACAAAGAGACTTAGACTCCCAAACAATGACAGTGGGAGACTTTAACACCCCACTGCCAATACTAGACAGATCTCTGAGAGAGAAAAATAACAAGGATATTCAGGACTTGGACTCAGCTCTAGGTCAAGTGGACCTGATAGATATTTACAGAACTCACCAGCCAAAAACACAATACACATTCTTCTAATTGCCACATGGCACTTACTCTAAAATTGATTACATAATTGGAAGTAAAACATTCCTTAGCAAATTCAAAAGAACCAAAATCATAACAGTTTCTCAGACCACAGTGCAATCAAATTAGAACTCAAGAGTAAGAATCTCACTCAAAACCACACAACTGCATGGAAATTTAACAACATACTCCTGAATGACTTCTGAGTAAATAATAAAATTAAGTCAGAAATAAAAAAATTCTTTGAAACCAATGAGAACAAAGAGACAATATACCAGAATCTCTGGAATGCAGCTAAAGTAGTGTTAAGGGGGAAAATATAGCACTAAATACCCACATCAAAAAGCTAGAAAGATCTCAAATTGACTTCCTAACATCACAACTAAAAGGAAAAGAGAACCAAGAGCAAACAAACCCCAAAGCCAGCAGAAGACAAAAAATAACCAGGATCAGAGTGGAACCATAGGAGATAGAGACACAAAAAAAACCCTTCAAAAAAATCAATATATCCAGGAGCTGTTTAAAAAAAATAAAATAAAAGAGATAGACCACTAGCTAGATTAATAAAGAAAAGAGAGAAGAATGAAATAGACACAATAAAAAATGATAAAGCAGATATCAGCACTGACCCTACATTAATACAATCATCAGGGCTTGGCGTGGTAGATCATGCCTGTAATCCCAGCACTTTGGGAGGGTGAAGTGGGTGGATCACCTGAGGTCAGGACTTCTAGAGCAGCCTGGCCAACAAAGTGAAACCCTGTCTCTACTAAAAATAAAAAAATAAAAAAAATTAGTTGGGCATGGTGGCTGGTGCTTATAATCCCATCTACTCAGGCGGCCGAGGCAGGAGAATTACTTGAACCCAGGAGGCGGATGTTGCAGTGAACCGAGATTGCACCATCACACTCCAGCCTGGGGGACAAGAGTGAGACTTCATTCCAAAAATAAAAAAAAAGAAGAAAAAAAAAAAAGGAAATACAATCATCAGAAAATACTATAAACACCACTATGCACATAAACTGGAAAATCTAGAAGAAATGGATAAATTACTGGACATCTACACCCTCCCAAGACTGAACCAGGAAGAAGTTGAATCCCTGAATAGACCAACAACAAGTTCTGAAATTGAGACAGTAATAAGTAGGCTGCCAACCAAAAGAAGCCCAGGACCAGATGGATTTACAGCTGAATTCTACCAGAGGTACAAAGAAGAGCTGGCACCATTTCTTCTGAAACCATTTTAAATGAAAGAAAAGTAGGAACTCCTCCCTCATTTTATAAGATCAGCATCATTCTGATATCCAACCTGGCAGAGATATAAAAACAACAACAACAAAAACTTAAAACCAATATCCCTGATAAATATCGATGCAGGCCGGGCACAGTGGTTCTTGCCTGTAATCCCAGCACTTTGAGAGGCTGAGGCGGGCAGATCAGCTGAGGTTAGGAGTTCAAGACCAGCCTGGCCAACATGGTGAAACCCCATCTCTATTAAAAATACAAAAATTATCTGGGTGTGGTAGCGCACGCCTGTGATCCCAGCTACTCAGGAAACTGAGTCAGGGGAACTGCTTGAACCCAGGAGGTGGAGGTTGCAATGAGCCGAGATGGTGCCACTGCAGTCCAGCCTGGGCGATAGAGTGACACTATGTCAAAAAAAAAAAAAAAAAAAAAAAAAAAAAAAAAAAAAAAAAACTGATGGAGAATGAGAAAACTATTTTAAAATTAATGTGGAACCCAAAAAGGCCCCATATAGCCAAGACAATCTTAGGCAAAAAGAACAAAGCTGGAGGCATCATGCTATCCAACTTCAAACTATACTACAAGGCTGTAGTAACCAAAACAGCCTGGCACTGGTATAAAAACAGACACATAGACCCATGAAACAGAATAGAGAACTCAGAAATAAGACTGCAAATCTACAACTGCCTGATCTTTGAAAAACCTGACAAAAACAAGCAATAAGGAAAGAACTCCCTATTTAATAAATGGTTCTGGGAGAACTGACTAGTCATATACAGAGAATGGAAACTGGATGTGGTAAGAAAAAGAGCAAGTGTAAGGTGAAAAAGCCAGGTTCAGGCCAGGCGCAGAGACTCACGCCTGTAATCCAAGCACTTTGGGAGGTCGATGAGGTCAGGAGTTCGAAACCAGCCTGACCAACATGGTGAAATCCCATCTCTACTAAAAAACTACAAAAATTAGCTGGGCATGGTGGCGGGTGCCTATATCCCAGCTACTTGGGAGGCTGAGGCAAGAAAATTGCATGAATCAGGGAGGTGGAAGTTGCAGTGAGCCGTGATGGTACCATTGCACTCCAGCCTAGACTACAGAGTGAAACTCCATCTCAAAAAAATAAAAAAGGCCAGGTTCTTTTAATGAACCAGCTCTCATTTGAATTAATGAAGTGTAAACTTTCTGATTATCAAAAGGCTGGTGCCAAGGCATTTATGAGAAATTCGTCCCCATGACCTAAACACCTCCCTACCAGGTTCCACATCCAACATTGGGGATTACATCGCAGCATGAGGTTTGCAGAACATGTTCATCCAAACCATATCACAGACAAACTAGGCTTAACAGACATGTACAAAATTTTTCAGTTAAAAGCAAAATAATACACAATATTCTTATTTGCACCTGATGTATTCTGTTAGAACACATAACAAGTCTTATTGAAGAATACGTAGTGGCTGATACGCATAATTTCAACAATTTGGAAGACAAAAGTGAGAGGATCACTTGGGACCACAAGTATAAGACCAGTGTCAGTAACATAGTGAGAGCCTGTCCCTAGAAATAATCAAAAAATTAGCCAGGCATGGTAGTGCATGTCCATAGTCTCAGCTACTCAGGAGGCTGAGGTGTAAAGATCACTTGAGTCAAGCAGGCTGAGGTTGCAGTGAGCCAAAATTATGACACTATACTCCAGCCTGGGTGACGGAGTATGATCATGTCTGAAAATGACAACAACAAATAAATTTAAGAAGACCAAAATCATGCACTGCATGGTATCTGACCAAAACTGAATAAAACTAGGAATTAAAAGCAAAAGTAAAACTGGCAACTCCAACAATATCTAAAAATAAAACACATGGGCTGAGTGCAATGGCTCACACCTGTAATACTACCATTTTGGGAGGCTGAGGCAAGAGACCTGCTTGAGCACAGGTGTTGGAAACTAGCCTAGGCAACATAGGCTAGTCTCTAATAAATAAACTGTCTCTAATAAATAAAATAAAATAAAATTAAATTAAAACACATTCTTCAACATATTCCTGCTCGAGGGTCAAAAATTTTAATTTTGTTAAGATGCCAATACAACCTACAGAGGTGAACAAATTCAGTACAATCTCTATAAAAATCTCAATAGCACAGTTATTACAGAAATATTCTTTAAAATTTTTAAATGTGATTGTGAACTATAACTAACCAAACACCCATGAAAAGAACAAACAGGCATTATACTTCCCGATTTTAAAACATTAAAAGCTACAATAACAAAAACAGTATGGTACTGATACAAAGACAGATAAACAGATGAAAGAGCAGAATAGAGAGTTCAGAAATGAACCCTTGTGTATATGATTAAATGATCTTCCACAAAGCTGCCATGAACACACCATAGAGAAAAGATAATCATTTCAAAAAATGTTAAGAACTAAATGTCAACACTGATAAAGTTGGATCATTTCCTTGAACCGTATATAAAAAATGTTTTCAATAAAATACTTACATAAAAAAACTAACGAATCTCTTAGAACAAAATAGAAAAAAGTCATGACATGGGTCTTGGCACCATTTTCTTAGATACAACATTAAATGCATGAGCAACAACAGAAAAACAGAAAAATTTAACTACACGCTACTTCAAAATTTATCCACATTAGAAAAAAAAAACATTCAACTGTGTAAAAATGCCTCATAAGAAATGGGTGAAAATATTTGCAAGTCACATGTGATAAGAGTTAATATTCGGGCCAGGTGCAGTGGTTCACACCTGTAATCCCAGCACTTTGGAGGCTGAGGTGGGCGGATCACCTGAGGTCAGGAGTTGAAGACCAGCCTGACCAAATTACAAATTAATAATTTGTAGAGAAACACGTAAAAATAAAAATGAAAAATGAAATCACCTCACATCCATTACAATGGCCACTATAAATTTTTTAAAGACGCCAACTCTGTTGATGATGCAATGAAAATGAAACCTCTGTTGATTGTTGGTAGAAAACAAAGTTGCAGTCATTATTTTAAAATGTTACATTTCTCAAATAATTAAAAGTGGAATTATTATCAAATACAGCAACTCCATTAATGAATCTATATTCAAAATATGCAACAAAAGACCTAGAAGACATATTTGAACATCTATGATTATTGTACCAGTACTCACAAAAGTCAAAAGGCTGAGGCAACCCGGGTGTCTCTTGATTTATGAACACATCAAAAATGTAACATATACATAAAATGGAATATTATACAGACTTAAAGAAGAAAATCTTGTCAATTTTAAGACAAACTTTGAGAATATTATGTCATCTGAAATAATCCAGAAACAAAATGATGGACACTGTATGATTCCACTTATATGAGATATCTTAAATAGTCACACTCATAAAAACAGAAAGTGGAAGGGTGTTTGTCAAGGGCTGGGGAGAGGGTAAAATGGGTTGTTGTTACTTAATGGGTATTTAGTTTTAATTTCACAAGATGTAAAATTTCTGTAAGTCTTTTGCATAACAATGTGAATATACTTAACATGGCTAAAATGCAATTATTATTATTATTATTTTTTTTGAGACGGTGTTTTGCTCTTGTTGCCCAGGCTGAAGTGCAAGGGGCAATCTTGGCTCACTGCAACCTCTGGCTCCCAGGTTCAAGGAATTCTTCTGCCTCAGCCTCCCGAGTAGCTGGGATTACAGGCACCTGTCACAAGGCCCCGCTAATTTTTGTATTTTTAGTAGAGATGGGGTTTCACCATGTTGGTCAGGCTGCTCTTGAACTCCTGACCTCAGGTGGTCTGCCCACCTCAGCATCTCAAAGTGCTAGGATTACAGGCATGAGCCACCACGCCTGGCATGTAAAACTTTTTTTTTTTTTGAGACAGTCTCACTCTGTCACCCAAGCTGGAGTGCAGTGGCACAATTATGGCTCACTTCAGCCTCAAACTTCCAGGCTCAAGTAATTCTCTTCTCTCAAATTTCCCAAGTAGCTGAAACCACTTGTGCATACCACCATGCCTGGCAATTTTTTAAATAATTTTGTGGAAAGGGAATCTCCCTGTGTTGCCCTGGCTGGTCTCAAACTTTTGGGCTCAAGTGATCCTCCTTTCTTGACCTCCCAAAATCCTGGGATTACAGCTGTGAGGCACCACCATGTCTGGCCTTGAAATGTACACTTAAAGAAATTTAAGATGGTAGGCTGGGCGCGGTGGCCCATGCTGTAATCCCAGCACTCTGGGAGGCTGAGGCAGAGCGATCACTTGAGGTCAGGAATTCAAGACTAACCTGGAGAACATGGTGAAACTCTGTCTCTTCTAACAATAGAAAAAATTACCCAGGCGTGGTGGCGGGCACCTACATTCCCAGCTACTCGGGACGCTGAGGCAGGAGAATTGCTTGAACCCAGGAGGTGGGGGTTGCAGTGAGCCGAGATTGCGCTATTGCACTCCAGCCTCGGCGACAGAGCAAGACTCTGTCCCCCACCCAAAAAAAAAAAAAAAAGATTTAAGATGGTAAATTTTATGTTACGTGTTTTTACAACCATTAATTTTTCTTTTTCTTTTTTTTTTTTTTTTTTTGAGACAGAGAATTGCTTGAACCCGGGAGGCAGAGGTTGCAGTGAGCTGAGATCGCGCTATTGCACTCCAGCCTGGGCAACAACAGTGAAACGCCGTCTCAAAAAACAAAAAACAAAAAACAAAAAACAAAAGTTGAAGAGGTATTTCCTCCATCAAATTCACAGACACCAATGCAAAACTATATTGTGCCCATTGTCAATGCTTCTATTTTAACGTAGGACTGGAAGTAAGTGGCAGAATGATGAGTCAAAAACATTTTTAAAAAGCCACTGAAATTGAAGAAAAATAAGTTACTTTTTGTGGATCATATGATCTTATATATAAAAAAACCATAAACACTACATTGAAATTTGTCTAAAGTAATAAATACACTCAGTAAATTAGCAAAATATAAAATTAACATACAAGTATAAACTACTGTTCCATACATTTTAACCATCTGATACAATAAAGAAAACAATCTTATTTACAATAGCATTAAAATAATAAATTTCTGAGAGGAAATTTAACCAAGAAGGTAAAAAAAATCTTTACAATAAAAGATATAAGATAGACCAGGCACAGTGGCTCACGACTGTAATCCCAACACTTTGGGAGGCCGGGGCAGGCAGATCAAGAGGTCAACAGATCACGATCATCTGGCCAACATGGTGAAACCCCATCTCTACTAAAAATTAAAAAAATTAGCTTGGCGTGGTGGCATGTGCCTGTAGTCGCAGCTACTCAGGAGGCTGAGGCAGGAAGATTGCTTGAACCCAGGAGGTGGAGGTTGCAGTGAACCAAGATCGCGCCACTGCACTCCAACTTGATGACAGAGCGAGACTCCGTCTCAAAAAACAAAACAAAACAAAAAAGATATATCAATGAAATAAATTATTGAAGACACAAATTTTAAAATATTTCATGTCCATGGATTGAAAGAATAAATATTGTTAAAGTGTCATATTATCTAAAGTAATCTATAGCTCCAATAAACTTCCTATTAAAATTCCAGTGGCATTTTTTTCCACAGTAATAAAAAATACAATTCTAAAATTTATAAGAAACTGCAATAAACTTCAAATAGCCAAAGCAATCTTGAGGCAAAAGAACAAAGCAGAGGGGTATTATACTTTATAAGTTCTAACTATATTTCAAGAATATAGTAATAAAAACAGGATGGAATGTGCAAAAAGATTAACAAACAAAACAACGGAACAGAAAACACTACTTTCACACATTTCAGACATGATGAAAAAAGAGAACTAAAAAATAGTTTAACATAGAGTTTCCCAAAATTATGCAGATATCTGTGTGTCCCCCCAAATAATGGAAAAGTAGGGAGATTGTGCAGTCTTTTATATGCCTTGAAAAGGACTCTGGCTCTCACTGTAAACCTGAAGGAAGATCACCAAAAGGAAAGTAGAATCTTTAAAGAATTTAAAAGCATAAGACAGAAGATGCCCCTACGTGACAGCCAAAAAAAAAAAAAAAAAAAAAGCCCAAAAAACAAAAACACTCAGGCATCCCAGAAACTATTTCCTTTGGAACATAGCTTCCCAAACCACATTTTAATGACCAGCTTTCTTTTTGACCTTTGGACCTCACATCTGTGTCATCTGTTGTGTTCACTCTCACCTACCTGGGGGTTTGGCTACCATCTCATGTCTCTTTATATTCCAGGGCTCTTTTCCTTGCTCCAGACAGGTGATCAGGTCTGGCTTAGTGAGAGCAATACCTGCTTTATTAGAAATAAATAACATGAATCTTTCTCATATTCTCCAATTACCAACCTAGTACTATGCTTAGTAAAGAGGAGGTGATAGAATATTCTAGAAAATTAATCCTAACGTACTAATTAATGAGAGAAATTTCTAAATATTTAGAAAATATTTTAAATTTGTAGGTTCTTAATTTCACTACCCGGTACTCATGAATCAAAAAATTGGTGGTGATGAATGGATTTTAAAATATGGGCAAATATATATGTACATATATATACATTTATTTATTTTTGAGACGGAGTCTCGCTCTATTGTCCAGGCTGGAGTGAAGTGGCATGATCTCGGCTCACTACAACCTCCACCTCCTGGGTTCAAGCAATTCTCCTGCCTCAGCCTCCTGAGTAGCTGGGACTACAGGCGCCTGCCACCATGCCCGGCTATTTCTGTATTTTTAGTAGAAATGGGGTTTCACTTTGTTGGCAAGGCTGGTCTCAAACTCCTGACCTCGTGACCCGCCTGCCTCAGCCTCCCAAAGTGCTGGTATTACAGGAGTGAGCCACCATGCCCGGCCTAAAAACATGGGCAACAATATTTTATGACACTAAATTTCTGGAATTACCACTAATCTAGAGTGAAGGATACAGATCAGCTCAGGAATATGGAAAGTTCAGGTCAAGATGAAACATCTTGAATACATTCTTTTCCACACACAGCCTCAAGATTTTCTTGAAAAAACGGATCAGAAACTCATTTATGCAAAGCATGAATTACCAAAAATCATTCCACAAAAAAAGAGAAACCTTTACGGTATATTAGAAATTGTGTATTAAAGTTATTCTCACCCAAGAAGACCAGGTTTCTGTAGTTCTCTAACATCACTTTCCTATACAAACCCTGCTGAGCACTGTCCAGGCATTGCCACTCCTCCAGAGAGAATTCTATGGCCACATCCCTAAACGTCAATGGCCCCTGAAAAGCACAAGCACAGAGACACACATATATTTACCAAGTGGCCATGGGCAGAATTTATTATTTGAATTAAAATGAAATGACAGAGCAAAGAGAATTGGTTCTGATTAATAGAAATGACAAATTTTCCAATAATTTTTAACACAGAAATATTCTCTAAAATATTCTCTAATTCTGAGAGAAGAGAATGGCATAAGATCCACAACACCAGTGTATATATGACACTTTTCTAGATAAAGTATAAAATTAAGAGCATAAACACAAACATATACATTTTTGAGTGTTATTATTTATATCATAAAGAATGAGTTGTGTATATTTTTCAGACAAAAAAGAGATGTTGAGTTAGAAGGCACCTCCTGAATTTTAATGTTTACAATAAACTGGAAATCTTGTGCAGATTTTTTTTCAGAAGATCTGGAATGAAGTCTGAGTTTCTGAATTTCTTTCTTTTTTTTTTTTTTCTGAGACGGAGTCTCGCTCTGTCGCCCAGGCCGGACTGCGGACTGCAGTGGCGCAATCTCGGCTCACTGCAAGCTCCGCTTCCTGGGTTCACGCCATTCTCCTGCCTCAGCCTCCCGAGTAGCTGGGACTACAGGCGCCCGCCACCGCGCCCGGCTAATTTTTTGTATTTTTAGTAGAGACGGGGTTTCACCTTGTTAGCCAGGATGGTCTCGATCTCCTGACCTCATGATCCACCCGCCTCGGCCTCCCAAAGTGCTGGGATTACAGGCGTGAGCCACCACGCCCGGCCGAGTTTCTGAATTTCTAACGAGCTCACTAGTAATGCCAAAGTTTTTGGCCCCAAAAGAAAATTCTGTGAAACATCCAGTAAGTGGAAGAGCCTGTGTTTTACCAGATTTTTCTGGCCTGTAAAACAAAGAGCCTTCATTTTCCAAAGACAGCTACATGCAAAGAAAACATAAGAAAAAAGGGCAGCTGCCAGATTAAATGTGATGGCTTATGCACATTAACTGCATAAAGATGCCTAATAATGACAAGAAAAATAGTTAACTCTGTAGTGAAAGAAATATCAGAGAGCTTTTTAACCAAGTAAATTATTAATATCAACCATAGTAGGACGAATTTTTATGTTGTGCTTATGCACATAGAAGAACATAGCATCATTGCCTAGATATTGCCCCTCCAAAAGTAAATTATATTCTGAATTCAATCATACAGAAACATCAGTTTTATGCAAAGTTCAAGATACAGGTATCTCCAATGTTCTGTAATTTTCAATAATGATTTTAAGTAGTCTTTCTTCAGCACCCTATATAGCAGGTATCTCTCAATCTTTTTTCAGAACTTTCTGGGTAATAAATGCCATCCTATTTAAGTAAGTATTTTCTTAATCCTGTTCTGCATAGAGCTAATGGAGAACACAGATGGAACCTCAACATTACATATTCTCCACGTAAACCCCAGCTTTCCCCAATAGGAATCTTGAGTATCCACATCCTTCCATGTTCAACAGCCACAATGGGAACATTTTTAATAGTGCAGATCATAAATTCATGGTAGGAATTCTGCATGGCATATAAGAAGCCATGATATTGAGAATGTAGAGAAGGCTCTAGTACATAGGAAAGAAATATTTTGCATAGACCCTTGACTATCATTAGAATTTTAAAAAGTAGTTAAACTCATTAGTAAGGAAAAACACAAGTAGAGAAGTAAAGGTTTGCAAATACTAAATGCATGAGACTCTAGAAAAGAGTGGACAAAGCTCTTGATGTGAGACTTACTTAGCTGAAGAAAAAAAAACATCATTTTTCCTCTTTCTCCTTCTTCTCTTGGAATCCTTTTCAGATGAAATTCTCTAAAGAAGTAACATCTACATCTTGAGAAAACTGCCTTAAATGTGTCAGCACCACCTTCTTACCTGCTAGCACCACGCCCACAGACAGAAGGACCAAGACCAAAAAGTCCACCCATACCTCTCCCTTATAACAGAGGAGATTCAGGAAAAATGTGCTGCTCCATGGATGTAAAAATGTAAGTTTCTCCTTTCCTGTCTCAGGTGCCCTCCCCTGCCACAAACACCAGCAATTTCTGCTACAGTAATGAACATATGGGCCACACTGCCCTGTCCCTACCAAACCCAAACAGAACAGGTATCGTAACCACCCTTTAGTGCAAAGGTGGCACTTAACTCTCATGAATGTATCTTGAAGCCCTCATACTTCATTCTGGCCTCACCTTAGAGTCACATGAGGCACTTCATTAAAATAACATGGATGCTTCCACCCACAACAATAAACAGAAGCTGTGGGGAAGGCACAAGAGATTTTTGCCAACTGGTCATGTGATCTTAATGAGAAGCCTGGGCTGATAACCACTTAGCTAAGCATTGCCTCTCAAGCTTTAATGAGCTCAAAAATCACTTGGTAATGTTGGTCCCACTTTATGTAATGTGATTCTGCATGTTTGGAAAGGGTTCATGAATGGGTGTTTCAAACAAGTCCCCTGCCAATGCTGATGTTGCTCCCCCAGGCTCATCATTAGCATTAGTGAGAGAAAGCAGGCACCGCACAGAGTCCCTGACATTCAGCACTCTTGTCACAACACAAATACTTCTGGTACAAATGAAGACAACCACACTCCATCCTGAAGTTTTATATTATTTGCTGGCTCTTTAAAGTTTACAGAGGAAACAAAAGGCAGCAATGTTGGAATAAGTCTGCATTTGGAAAACAACATGTACACATGTACTAATGCAATAATTATTAAGCAGGTACTATGTGCTCAAGAGTACAATATAGAGCACTGTGCTGGGCATAACATATTATGTGATTTAATCCCCATAACACATTGGAAGTTGATACTAAGTGTTCAGTAATTCTCAGGATTTAGATAAAGGGCCCAGCATTATTACTTCTTCCTCTGTTTCTCTGTTATTGATTTTTTAAAAAAATGTACAGAATAAGGCTAAATATAGACAGAGGAGGGGGCATAGAAAGAGTTTAAGAAATTTTTTTCTATTTATATTTACTTGTCTGTGACTTGTGGAGCAACTACTGGATCTGCAAGAATAGAAAACAAGCTGCTAAATGGAATGTTTCTGTAAGCACTGGTTTTAATACAAAATTTAAAAAAATAAGATGTTAAAATGTATAGTTTATTTTTCTTATTTATCTGCTTTTGGGTTGCAGGAAATTGTAAGCACCAGCTCTAGAAAGGCAGAAGGATTTACCGGCCAAAACTCTGACCTTTATAAATCAGTTCTGTAAGGCAAGACTCCAAAGTGGGCCAGACCTAAAGAAGGCCTTCAAAAAGGGTGAATCTGAACAGAACTGGGGCAGGGAAAGGACCCTATGGAGAATTCTGTTCTCTGCCACTGGAGTATTTCCAGTTCTGTTTTTCCTAAGCTTACCTAAGAAAAACTTAAATCCTAGAGTTTATGTAACTTTAATCTATTTTTGCCACTGCTCTGTCAATTTTATAACTATACTAACAGGCAATTTAAATGACTCTTTTAAAGTTTTCTGGAATAATTTCATTAGAAGATAAGTATGTATTCTAACAAAGTAAAAGATACACAAATAATACTAACAACTCTTCAGTCCATAAATATCCCTTCAGGTGATAACCTCAGAAGACACAACAATATAAAAAGAAGTGGGCAAAGTTTTTTTGTTTTGTTTTGTTTTTGAGATGGAGTTTCATTCTTGTCACCCAGGCTGGAGTGCAATGGCACAATCTTGGCTCAACGCAAACTCTACCTCCTGGGTTCAAGTGATTCTCCTGCCTCAGCCTCCCAAGTAGCTGGAATTACAGGCATGCACCACCTCGCCTAGTTAATTTTTTGTATTTTTAGCAGAGACAGGGTTTCTCCATGTTGTTCAGGCTGATCTCGAACTCCCAACCTCAGGTGATCCGCCTGCCTCGGCCTCCCAAAGTGCTGGGATTACAGGCGTGAGCCACTGCTCCCGACTGAAGAGGCCAAAGTTTTGTTTTGCTTTGCACACATCTATTCACCGTACCAACCATATGATGTTTAATTCAACCGTGTATCCAGTTGCTAGTCTAGAGCAAAAGTTTCTGGATGGTAGGGACCGTGACTGCTTCATCTATTTTTTGAATGACCTTATGAAATGGAAGCAATTAGTTTATCTTTTGAGTCACCGGACCTCCTCTTTGTGTTTCACCAAAGTAACAGCAAACTAGAGAAACTCTCATCTGGGTACCAACCAAAGTTATCTCTTGTATGAGTATGAAGGGAGAAAAAAAAAAAACAGAATGACTCATTTCTCTTACACCGAGACAGAAGCAGAATTAACCACTCGTCAGCCTGAAACAATTCTGCACTGGACATCCTCAAATGTCTCAAAGACATCTAGGTGATTGTGAGAAGGTTCTTACTGACCCTGGGCTGATGGCCCAGTGATAAGCCAGGCTGAGAGAGATTCATGCTGATTCTAAATAGAAAATGGAACTGCCTTGGTGGAGCTCCAGAACCTGCATCACCTATCCTGACTTGCTAGCTTTTGGGTAAGAAGAAGGACAAGAATACTCTACTCCAGTATCATATTTTACAGGTAGGTATAGTTGTGGTCATGGCTCTGGATACTTTGTGGCCTTGATCTCTCACTCTTAAGATGCTCGTTTACACTTACAGATTCTGTCATCAAATTCTATTTATACCTGGAGTCTCTCACATAACTGTAGCAGGTCACTCACTAAACAAGATCTGAAAAGCTTGAAGAGCCACACTCTCAAATGGGGGCTTCAAGATTTCTACACTGACATCTCACAATACAGAAAATGCCTTCTGTTGGTTTTCAGTACATTCTCAATCCAAAGTCTTCTGGCCCTGTCTTGTAAATCCTAGGCAGAGGCCAGACCTTATGTGCAGATTCTAGGTGGGATCAATCTGACTCTGCATCCTTGGGTGTTACAGCAAACAGACTACAATCAAAGGAGAGCTCCCCTCATAGAGGCTGCTCTGGCACATTCTAAATAATATGTCTAACTAAAAGAAAAAACTGAGGCAACATGAATATAAGTAGAGAGTTCATCTGGGCCAAGCTTGAGGACTGTAACCTTGGAGCAAAAATACATCTTCCAAAGACTGAACAAATAAGAAATTGAATCCCTGAATAGACCAATAACAAGTGCCAAAACTGAATTGGTCTTAAATGGCCACCAATCACAAATAGCAAAGAACCAGACAAATTTACAGATTAATTCTACCAGATGTACAAAGAAGAGCTGGTACCACTTCTAATATTATTTCAAAATATTGAGAAAAAGGGACTTCTTTTTCAGCTCATTATATAAAAACAGCATCATTCTGATACCAAAACTGGGAAGAGACACAATAAAAAAAGAAAACTTCAGACCAATATCCCTGAGGAGCACTGATGTGAAAAACCTCAATAAAACACTGGAGAACCGAATCCAGGAGCACATCAAAAAACTTATCCACCTCTATCAAGTCGGCTTCATACCTGGGATGCAAGGCTGGTTCAACATATGTAAATCAATAAATGTAATCCATCACATAAAGAGAACGAAAGAGAAAAACACATAATTATCTCCAGATGAGTCAGCTTGGGGAGGCGGAGGCAGCGGCAGCGCGGCGAGCGTGCAGGGAGGCCGGAGCCCTGCCCGGGGCGGGTCGCGGGGTGGGCGGGTGAACTGCCAGCGAGGAGGCACCTGCTTGCGCGGGTGCAGCCTGGGCTGCGCCATTGTTGGGGGAGGGGCGGCTGCTGAGGGCGGCGAGTAGGGGGCTAGAGAAGGCGCCAGCCCCGGCCCAGAGGAGCAGAGACGCCCCATGGGGAACACGCTGACCTATTGCGTGTCCCCCCAGTACCAGCCTCAAGCTGGGCCGGTGCGTGGTGCCAGAGCTGTACTGCGCAACCGACATCTACGAGGCGGCACCCGGGGATGCGGTGGCGGTAGCGCCCGCTTCTGTGGAGCCTACCAGTTGGATTTCGCAGCGGGCGAGGGCCACCACCTGCAGCACATCAGCGACCACGAGATGCCCTAAGATTTAGCTTTGGAGTCAAACCCTTCTGACCATCCAAGGGCAAGCACAAGTTTCCTGAGCAAATCTCAAACCGATGTGCGAGACAAGAGGAAGAGCAACCACTTAAATCATCTATCTCCAGGGCAGCTTACTAAAAAGTATAGCTCATGCTCAACAATATTTCTAGGTGACAGAACAGTCAGCCAGCCTAACCTTAGAACCACAGTAAAATGTGACCTTAGAAATATATTACCACATAAAGAACAGAGATGCAAACAGATCCCTGGATATTTTTGATGAGAGATCACATCCCCTCACACGAGAAAAAGTTCCACAGGAATAGTTTAAGCATGATCCTGAGCACAAATTTATTTACAGATTTGTTCATACTCTTTTTAGTGCTGCACAGCTAACAGCTGAATGTGCAACAGTAACTCTGGTTTACTTAGAAAGGCTTTTAACTTATGCTGAAATCGACATTTGCCCCACTAACTAGAAAAGGATTGTTCTGGGAGCCACTCTTCTTGCCTCCAAGGTTTGGGATGATCAGGCTGTATGGAATGTGGACTACTGCCAGATCCTCAAGGACATTACAGTTGAGGACATGAATGAAATGGAAAGGCATTTTTCGGAGCTTCTTCAGTTTAATATTAATGTTCCTGCTAGTGTTTATGCCAAACACTACCTTGACCATCGCTCCTTAGCAGATGACCACCTGAATTTTCTATTTGCTCCTCTTAGCAAAGAAAGAGCACAGAACCTAGAGGCTATTTCTAGATTATGTGAAGACAAAGACTTGTGTGGAGCAGCTGTAAGAAGGTCTTTCAGCGCTGATCAACTTCATTGGTATTCAGCACTCTAAAGCCATCCTCTCTTAAAGGGAGAAATGAGGGGTTATAATGTCACGGGACCTTCATCTACAAAGACTGGAGAAATACCACCTTTCCTGCTCAAAAACCAGCAAAATTAGTGTTTTCATCAAAAGGAAAGATCTCAAATTCAAGAGACGCACGGACAACAAGGATCATACTCCATAGAAAAGAATGGGACCTTGTCAATGCAACAAAACACTCTTCTGTCCTTTTTAATGTAAACAGAGTCACCAAAACCACTCCAAAGTGAAGGCTCCCATCCCACACACAGATATTTGCTTACAATGTGGGCCAGTAACTGAACTATGTTAGGTTTTTTAAACAATAGTTTAAATTTTTAGACTTTAAAGACATTAACCATATAACTTTTATGTTTCTTCCAGTTTTTCTCCCCCTGCTCATTTTGCTGCATATGCCTTTAGAATCAATGCAGTATTGCCCTTAAAACAAGGGACTCTAACTAAAGCCACTTAGGAGCAGACTGCAGCATTGTTAGGTATTGAAGGGTTCTTCCTCCCTACTGTTACCATTAAAGCTGCTAGTCATTGGCAATCATTTTAAACCAAAAAGCTGATGGATAACATTTGTCATTCATATTCTTTGCAAGCATTACTTTAGCATTTTAGCATGTCTGCGGTCATAAACAAAGGAAGTATCAGTTATGATATCTACTTCTATTGGGGTCCATGTTGCATTTCTTGTGAACTATAAATGGTACTTCTCATTTTCTGATAATTTTTATCTTATTAAATAAATGTATTAAAAGATATTTTCATAATGCCAATGAACATGGTGGTTCAGTGACAGTGAAAAAAAAGTAAAGCAGTTTTAAGCTTTAATATAGTTTGGGCCCTCCAAGGTACTGCAGCAGGAGTATAAATGCTATAAACCTTTGAAAAACATCATTTGAGAGTTTTGTTTTTTTTCTTTAAGAGATGGGGGTCTTGCTGTGTTGTCCAGGCTGGAGTATGGTGGCTGTTCACCAGTGCAGTCATGGTGCACTGCAGCCTAGAACTTCCTGGCTTCGCGCCATCCTCTAGCCTCGGCCACACGAGTGGCTGGGACTGCAGGCGCACCCTGCATTTGTCTCCTGAATGTTAGGCTTTTGATTTTTTGTTTCAGTCACTCTTGAAGTCACTCTTGACTGAAGCAAAAAATTAAAAGCTTTATATTCAAAATTCTCAAAATGAAGCTGGGTGTGGTGGTGCACACCTGAGGTTCCAGCTACTTGGGTGGCTGGAGGATTGCTTGGGGTCAGGTATTGGAGGCTGCAGTGTATCGTGATGGTGCCTATAGAAATAGCTACTGCACTTCAACCTGGACAACATATCGGGACCCCATCTCTTAGAAAAATGCAAAATTAAATGCAAAAGAAATGCACCGGGCATAGTGATTCATGCCTATAATCTCAGTACTTTGGGAGGCTGAGGTGGGAGGATTACTTGAGCGCAGCAGTTCAAGACCAGTCTAGTCAACACAGTGAGCCCCTGTCTGTAAAAAATAATAATAAATAAAAATAATTAGCTGGATATGGTGGCGTATGTCTGTAGTCCCAGCTACTCTGGAGGCTGAGGTGGGAGGATCACTTGAGCCTGCGGGGTCAAGGCTGCAGTGGGCCATGATCATGCTACTGCACTCCAGTCTGGGCGACATCCAGACCCTATCTCAAAAGAAGGAAAAGAAAAACATTCAGGCAAGGTTTTATGAAGGTTTGTAGCACTTCTACAAGTATCAAAGCTTAAAATTACATTAAACCTTTGGAATATCTTGTATCTCCATAAAATGCCCTTCTCTTTTTAAAATGAATTACTTGCAGAGCTGTGCTCTATATGCATTGATCACCGAAGTTTCTTTAATTTAAAGGAAGATTTTGAAGAGCACTGTTAATTAACATGTAATAAAAGGAACTGGGCCCTAATGATAGAAGGTGATATGAACAGCTGTTTTATCATCCTACATGCTACCAACCTGTAGGTGTCCCATTAAGTCCTGCTATTTAAGAAATAACTTACATAACCCTTAGGAACACTTACTTCAGGCTTTAAAAGGCAAGGAACAAATAATTTTAGGAGACTGATAATGCCATCTAAATTTGAAAAACTAAAAGGAGATTAGTGTTCTCAATTATGTGAAATCTATTTCTCCTACTTACTCAAATCTAATCCTAGGAATCTTGCTTATAAACAAAGCATTCCTGGGCCAGGAATACTTCCTCTACTATAGCAATATTTCACATCATATTGTGCTGCAATTTCCATCATTTTTAAAGGGCAGAGAAATAAATGATAAATAATGGTATAAAAATATTACAATCTACCACCTCAAAAAAAAAACAACAAAACATTGTTTATGGAGTTCAGAGCTTGGAGAGTCAAGTATTGATAGCTGTTTTATTTTAAAAAGAATGTTACAATTTATGTGGTTTTTATTTCTCATGTTTATATTAAAAGTTAATAAACTCTTTTAATTAAAAACATATCATTATTTCAATAGAAAAAAGCCTTTGATAAAATTCAGCATCCCTTCATGTTAAAAACCAATGGAACAGAACAGAGACCTCAGAAATACCACCACACATTTACAACCATCTGACCTTTGACAAACCTGACAAAAGCAATGGGGAAATGATCTTCTGTTAAGTAAATGGTGCTGGGGAAACTGGCTAGCCATATGCAGAAAACTGAAACTGGACCCCTTCCTTACAAAATTATACAAAAATTAACTTATACAAAAAGTAACTCAAGATGGGTTAAACACTTAAATGTTTAACCATAAAAACCCTAAATGAAAACCTAGGCAATACCATTCAGGACAAAGGCATGGGAAAGACTTCATGACAAAAACACCAAAAGGAATCGCAACAAAAGCCAAAATTTGACAAATGGGATCTAATTAAAGAGCTTCTGCACAGCAAAAGAAAACCATCATCAGAATGAACAGACAACCTACAGAACAGGAGAAAATTTTTGCAACCTACCCATCTGACAAAGGTCTAATATCCAGAATTTATAAGGAACTTATACAAATTTAAAAGAAAGACAACCCCATCAAAAAGTGGGCAAAACATGAACAGATACTTCTCAAAAGAAGACATTTATGTGGCCAACAAACATGAAAATACACTCAGCCGAGCTCACGCCTGTAATCCCAGCACTTTGGGAGGCCGAGGCGGCTGGATCACCTGAGGTCGGGAGTTCAAGACCAGCCTGGCCAACATGGAGAAACCCGTCTCTACTAAAAATACAAACTTAGCCAGGCATGGTGGGGCATGTAATCCCAGCTACTCGGGAGGCTAAGGCAGGAGATTCGCTTGAACCCAGGAGGCAGAGGTTGCAGTGAGCCAAGATCGCACCATTGCACTCCAGCCTGGCCAATGAGAGTGAAAGTCCGTCTCAAGAAAAAAGAAAAAAAGAAAAAAAAAAAAGCTCAACATCACTGATCATCAGGGAAATGCAAATCAAAACCACAGTGAGATACATCTCACACCAGTCAGAATGGTAATGATTAAAAAGTCAAGAAACAGATGCCGGTGAGGCTGTGGAGAAATAGTAACACTTTTACACTCTTGGTGGGAAGGCAAATTAGTCTAACCATTGTGGAAGACAGTATGGTCATTCCTCAAGGATCTAGACCAGAATTACCATTTGATCCAGCAATCCCATTACTGGGTATATACCCAAAGGAATATAAACCATTCTACTATAAAGACACATGCACATGTATGTTTACTGCAGCACTATTTACAATAACAAAGACATGGAGCCAACCCAAATGCCCATCAATGACAGACTGGATAAAGAAAATGTGGTACATATAAGCCATGGAATACTATGCAGCCATCAAAAGGAATGAGATCATGTCCTCTGCAGGAACATGAATGAAGCTGGAAGCCAGCATCCTCAGCAAACTAACACAGGAACAGAAAACAAAACATTGCATGTTCTCACTCATAAGTGGGAGCTGAACAATGAGAACACATGGACACAGAGAGGGAAACTACACCCACAGGGCCTGTTGAGGGGTGAATGGTGAGGAGACAGAACATAGAGGACGGGTGAATAGGCGCACCAAACCACCATGGCACACATACCTATGTAACAAACCTGCATGTTCTGCAAGTGTATCTCCCTGCTTTTTTAGAAGAAATTTTTTAAAAGAGGAAAAAAATGTTACTTATCACATAAACCAAAACTAAAGACAAAAACCACATGATTATTTCAATAGATGCTAAAAAAGCCTTCAATATAATTTACTATCCTTCATGTTTAAAACCCTCAACAAACTAGGCATTGAAGGTACATACTTCAAAATAATGAGTCATCTTTCACAAACTTACAGCCAACATACTAAATGGACACAAGTGAGAAGCATTCCTCCTTGAAAACTGGCACAAGACAAGGATGCCTTCCCTCAAAACTCCTGTTCGACATAGAATTGGTACAGTCTCAGCAGAAAAGCTCTTTAAACTGAAAAGCAAGTTCTGCAAAGTTTCAGGATACTAAATCAGTAGCATCTCTGTACATCAACAACATCCAAGCCAAAAGCCAAATCAAAAACATAATGCCATTCACAATTGCCACACACACACACACACAAATATCGAGGAATACAGCTACCCAGGAATGTGAAAGATCTCTATGACAAGATGATCAAACACTGCTTAAAGAAGTGAGAGATGACATAAACAAATGGAAAACCATTTTATGCCATGGATAGAAAAGATTAGCATCACTAAAATGTCAAAACTACCCAAAGAAATTTACTGACTTAATGCTATTCCTATCAAACTACCAAAAACATTGTTAACAGAACTAAAACTTAACTATTTTAAAATTTATATGGAACTAAAATAAGCCTGAATAGCCAAGGCAATTTTAAGCAAAAAGAACAAAGCTGGAGGTATTACATTAACCCTCTTCAAACTACACTACAGGGCTACGATAACCAAAGCAGCATAATACTGATGCAAAAAGAGATGCATAGAAAAATGCAACACAATAGAGAGGCCAGAAATAATGCCACACACCTCCAACTATCTGATCTTTGACAAAGCTGACAAGAGGAATGAGGAAATAATTCCCTATTTAATAAATGGTGCTGGAACAAGCTGGGAGAGGTGGCTCACACCTGTAATTCCAGCACTTTGGGAGGCCAAGGTGGGTGTGGATCAGTTGAGGTAAGGAGTGCGATACCAGCCTGGCCAACGTGGTGAAACCCTGTCTCCACTAAAAATACAAAAATTAGCTGGGCAAGGTGGCACATGCCTATAATTCTAGCACTTTGGGAGCCCAAGGCAGGTAGATCACTTGAGATCAGGAGTTTCAGGCCAGCCTGGCCAATACTGCAAAACTTCATCTCTACTAAAAATACAAGAATTATCAGGGCATGGTGGTGCATGTCTGTAGTTCCAGCTACTCAAGAGGCTGAGGCATGAGAAATGCTTCAACCCATGAAGCAGAGGTTGCACTGAGCCAAGATATGCCACTGAACTCCAGCCTTGGTCACAGAGTGAGACCCTGTCTCAAAGGAAAAAAATAGTCACTAACAGATACTGGCAAGGTTGCAGAGAAAAGGGAATGCTTTTATACACTGTTGGTGCGAGTGTAAATTAGTTCAACCATTGTGAAAAGCAGTGTGGCGATTCTTCACAGAACTAAAAACAGAATTACCATCGGACCCAGCAACCTCTTAACTGGGTATATATTCAAAGAAATATAAATTATTCTACCATAAAGTCACATGCACATGCATGTTCATTTCAGCACTGTTTACAATAACAAAGACATGGAATAAACCTAAATGCCTATCAGTGGTAGCCTAGATTGAAAAAAATATGGTATGGTCAGATGACAGAGCTCATTCTTGTAATCCCAGCACTTTGGGAGGCCAAGGCAGGTGGATTGCCTTAGCTCAAGAGTTCAAGACGAGTCTGGGCAGCATGGCAAAACCCCATCTCTACAAAAAATAAAAATAATTAGGCAGACATGGTAGTGTGTGCCTGTAGTCCCAGTTACTTAATGGGCTGAGGTAGGAGGACCCCTTGAGCCTTGGAGGTTGAGGCTGAAGTGAGCCACAACTGTACTGCACTTCAGCCTGTGTGACAGAGTGAGACACTGTCTTAAAAAAAAATAAAGAAAAGATTTAATAGAAACAAAATATGGTACATAAGCAACATGGAAGACTATGTGGCCATAAAACAAACACCACCAAGATAAAGATCTCTGCAGCAACACGGATGGCGCTGGAGACCATTAGCCTTAGAAAACTCATGCAGAACACAAAACCAAATGCATGTTATCATTTGTAAGAGCTAAATAATAAGAACACATGGACACGAGGAACAGTCACGGGGCCTAGCTGAGAATGGAGGATGAAAGGACAAAGAGGATCAGAAAAAAATACCTCTTTGGTGCTATGCTTAGTACCTCAGTGACAAAATAATCTACACCAAACCCCCATGACACAATTTTACCCATATAACAACCCTGCACATGTACACGTGTAGAAAAAGAAAATCCATGGGTGGGGAAGAATGCAGTGTAAGTGGATTGTTTGTTCTACAGACAGTGGCCCAGGTGGCGCTGTACTCTGATTTATTTCTGGGTCCATGCAGGCAGAGAAGATTATGAACAGGTAGTCCAGGACCCTAGGCTGGTGGAGAAAACAGGTTGCTGCTGCAGATTCATTGTCTGGGGGTTGGGATATGCCAGGAGACTTGTGGACACTTTTGTGGCTTTTTGGCAAGAAATACTAGGATCCACAACGCTGTAGTGAAATTCCCAAGTGTGGTGACTAGTCCTGGGAGGGGTGTGGACACGTCAATGTCTAGTGGGTATGTTTGTGAGTGGATCAGAATCCTGTGGTGATAGCTGTGGAACAAGGGGGTCTGTCATCAGAGTTCCTTTCCTCTAAGTTTTCATCCTCTCTTACCCTAGAAGATCTGGAATCACACGACAATGAAAGGCTTTGTTCTCCTTTAGACGAGAACAGAGCCTCCCACTCCAAGACACCAAGAGTTCCATTCCAGGCCAGGTCTCCATGATATCTTTCTTCTACCACCAAAACTGCAGAGTTTGCTGAATACCAAGCAATTCTCTAGCACCAACTCAATGTCTAACATTCGAATTCTGACACCATGCAGAGTCAGCAAAGACCCTGATTCAAGGTTTAGTCTCATAACATTGCCCTCTTTGCAGTTGCCAGTCACAAACCCCATAGGCCCATCTATGTTTCTGGGCTACTGTTTAAAAACTGAGGACTCCTGCGACCTTCCTCAAGTTCAATAATTTGATGGAGCTACTCACAGAACTCAGCAAAACACTGCAGCTATGTTTACAGATTATAAAAGATACAACCCAGGAAAAATCAAATAGAAGAAATGTATAGAACAAAAAGAAGAGGTGGGGAAAGATGAAACATATAGATAACCCTGGTAAATAGCTGTGATTAATAAAATTTTTCATCCTCTGTGTTCTCCAGGAACAGTTTATGGAAAGAAACACTCTTCCATTATGAATTACACAGTGCTCTCTTTTCTTTTTTATCACATAGCCACAGACTATTGAACTAGAGCAACTCGATTTTGAATATGGCTGAGTAAAATAAGGCTGCAACCACTGGGCTACATTCCCAGATGGTTAGGCATTCTAAGTCACAAGATGAGACTGGAGGTCAGCACAAGATACAGGTCATAAAGAGCTGGCTGATAAAACAGTTTGCAGTAAAGAAGTGGGATAAAACCCACCAAAACCAAGATGGTGATGAGAGTGTCCTGTGGTCATCCTCACTGCTACACCCCCACCGGTGCCATGACGGTTTACAAATGCCATGGAAACATCAGGAAGTTACACCATAATGGTCTAAACAGGAGAGGCATAAATATTCCACTTCTTGTTTACCATAAAATTAAGAAATAACCATAAAAATGGGCAACCAGCCTATGGAGAAAGCCATTCTCTTATATCTCCACTTTCTTAATAAATGTACAGGCCAGGTGCAGTGGCTCACGCCTGTAATCTCAGCACTTTCGGAGGCCGAGATGGGTGGATCACCTGAGGTTGGGAGTTCGAGACCAGCCTGACCAACATGGAGAAACCCCATCTCTACTAAAAATATAAAATTAGCTGGGCGTGGTGGCACATACCTGTAATCCCAGCAACTCGGGAGGCTGAGGCAGGAGAATTGCTTGAACCTGGGAGGCAGAGGTTGCACTGAGCCAAGATCGAGCCATTGTACTCTAGCCTGAGCAAAATAGTGAGACTCCGTCTCAAAAAAAAAAAAAAGGAAATTGCTATTATTCTAATATGACTAAGTGTATGTTATTAATAATTACACTTTGGGAGGCTGAGGCTAGCGAGTCACCTGAGGTCAGGAGTTCAAGACCAGCCTGTCCAACATGGTGAAACCCCGTCTCTATTAAAAATACAAAACTTAGCCCTGCATGTGATGGCAGGTGCCTGTAATCCTAGCTAGTTGGGAGGCTGAGGCGGGAGAATCGCTTGAACCTGAGAGGCGGAGGTTGCAGTGAGCCAAGATTGCACCACTACACTCCAGCCTAGGGGACAAAGCAAGACTCCATCTAAAAAAAAATAAAATAAAATAATAATAATAATTACATTGTTACCTAAAATCATTGTATGCCACAGAGCTAACCAAATTTCCTTGTCAATTTTTTTTTTACTGTAACTGCCCTAAGACTTTGCCATCCAGACAATCATCTTGTGTTGATCCTCTTCAAAAGATGATTTGTAGTCCACTATAAGACAATGATAGGTGTTCTTAAATGCAAGTTTCTGATAACATTAGAAATTGTGACATTAGAATAGAGGAAGAACTTTCTTGTTTTTTTTTTTTTTTTTTTTGAGATGGAGTCTCACTCTGTCGCCCAGGCTGGAGTGCAGTGGTGCGATCTCGGCTCACTGGAAGTTCCACTTTGCAGTTTCATGCCACTCTCCTTCCTCAGCCTCCCGAGTAGCTGGGACTACAGGTGCCCGCAACCATGTCCCACTATTTTTTTTTGTATTTTTAGTACAGACAGGGTTTCACCATGTTAGCCAGGATAGTCTTGATCTCCTGACTTCGTGATCTGCCCGCTTCAGCCTCCCAAAGTGCTGGCATTACAGGGGTGAGCAACCGTGCCCGGCCTGAGGAAGAACTTTCAATACTAATGGAGAACTAAAATGGTCATGACTATCAAACAGAACAGGAATTAACTGAGTGGACTGAACTAATAGAAGACTGAAGTAATATTTTTTGACTTCGCCTAAAACATCACTGATCCTTTGTTTTGTTTTTCAGAGTCAAAAAAACTATTCTTTTGAACTATTCACACCTTTTAACAATTGAGTAAAGTATACACCTGTGAAAAAAATTTGGAAAATATTTGTGAGTATTCTGAACTTAAAACAATTTAGTTATTTATATAAGTGCAATAAGAAACTGTTTTCTTTTACAACAGGACACAATTAGAGAAACTTGTTATTTTACCAAGGCTTCTGACTAGAATGACATACTTTGCTTTAATGAACTAAACTTGACTTGTAGAACCAATAAAGCTCCATGGGAAAACTGGTATTATACCTTGTCTACACAGCCCCTGTACAGGGTTCCTGGCTAGCGGTAAATAAAAAAATTTCTTATCTGAGATTCCTTTTATGAAACAAGGTTCCATCAAACCCAATTTAAAAGGCCTATGTGAAAAATAATTATTCTTGCTACACTTTATAGAAATAATCGGGCCAAGTATAAGACTAAAACTTTTTTTTTTTATGTTCACACTTCACATTGTCTTATGTTTATTTGCAGTTATTTTTGAACTTGAAGATGGCATATCTTCCAGCCATAGCAGTTCACTTCTTCATGTTAATTTGGTGGCTAACACAACAGGTAATATCCACCACCCACTCCCAACCTACATCCTGCTGATCTTGCTTTGCTCACATCTTGGAGACAATAGAGTTCACAGAGTTGAGTCTGTGGCTAGAGCCGGTCAGAAAGCATGAATCTGAAAGATATTTTTAAAATAGCACTAGTAGGCCAAGCACAGTGGCTCACCAGCACTTGGGAGACCAAGGCAGGCAGATCACTTGAGGTTAAGAGTTAGTGAAAATACAAAATCAGCTGGGCATGGTGGTGTGCACTTGTAATCTCAGCTACTCAGGAGGCTGAGGCAGGAGAATCACTTGAACTTGGGAGGCAGAGGTTGCAGTAAGCCAAGATCATGCCACTGCACTCCAGCCTGGGGAACAAAGCAAGACTATGCCTCAAAAAAAGAAAAAAAAATAGCACTCCTAAACAAAACAGTCACAAAGCTTAGCTTTCTCTTTCTACTACTAACAGTGTCATAAGATGGATTATGTAAAAATCTGGATTACTGTTTGAATTATGAAGACATGACAATCAGCCACGACTTCCTATCAGCTTGGTTCCAACAAATGCCCAGTTCATGAAAAGCTTTCTTAAGTTTCCTTGGAAGAATTTTGCTTATTTTGCTTTACTGTTGTAGAATATATTGCCATTCTACTCCTTGTGTAGAAATGCAGAATAAACTTACTGGGTGTTTTCTTAAAGTGAACACTTATTAATCTTCCAGATATCACCTATTGTTGGAACTGGGAGTTAGGAATGGCCGTCATCAAACTGATGCTTTCTGATTGAGCTCCTCTCTACCTCAAATACAAAAGACGCTAATAGGCAAGAATATCATCACCTCTATTCAGCATGAAGTAGTAACAGAAGATTGATCTTCGTCCCACTACAACCCTTAGGATTAAGGGTTTCCTTGTTTAAAAAAATAACAATAATAATAGAGGGGGAAAATGTCAGAGGCATATTGAACCAAAGCAAATCCATTTTGAATAGGGCCTGGGTAAAACAGGGCTGAGATCTACTGGCCTGCATTCCCAGATAGTTAACCATTCTAAGTCACAGGATGAGACAGGAGATCAGCACAAAATACAGGCCATAAAGACCTGGCTGATAAAACAACTTGCAGTAAAGAAGTGAGATAAAACCCTCCAAAACCAAGATGGTGATGAGTGTGACCTCTGGTCATCCTCACTGCTACACTCCCATCAGTGCTATGAGAGTTTACATATGCCATGGAAACATCAGGCAGTTACCCTTTAGGGTCCAAAATGGGGAGGCATAAATACTCCACCCCTTGTTTAGCAAATAATCAAAAAATAACCATAAAAATGGGCAACCAGCAGTCCTTGGGGCTGCTCTGCCTGTAGAGTAAACCATTCTTTTATTTCTTATTAATAAACTTACTTTCACTTTATGGACTCACCTTGATTCTTGAGTGAAATCCAAGGACCCTCTCTTGGGGTTTGGATTGGGACCCTTTTCGGTAAAATCTCTGCACATATTTTTTCTTTTTCTCATGAAAAAAAATTGGCTAAGGCTGGCGTGGTGGCTCATGCCTGTAATCCCAGCACTTTGGGAGACCGAGGTGGGCAGATCACAAGGAGATTGAGACCATCCTGGCTAACATGGTGAAACCCCGTCTCTACTAAAAACACAAAAATTAGCTGGGCATGGTGGCACGCACCTGTATTCCCAGCTACTTGGGAGGCTGAGGCAAAGGAATCGCTTGAACCTGGGAGGCAGAGGTTGCAGTGAGCCGAGATTGCACCACTGCACTTCAGCCTGGCGACAGAGTAAGACTCCATCCCGGGGGGAAAAAAATCAGCTAAATTTGTCTTCAGTGGTCTAAGTAAAATTTTACGTGGGCTCCTGAACTTTGAGCTACCCTCAATCTGAGCTAACTTAAAACTTCATTCTGTGCCCCTCCTAAGAACATGCTGACTTCAGGGTAAAACATTCTCTAATCTAAAATCTAACCTTTTCAATCTCCAACTGCCATTCCCTTCCCACCTTCTCTCTAATCTTTTTTGCTCCACTGTATGAAAGAAAGCCCTCGTCTGCCTAAACTTGGCAATTCTTAAAGTTTTTATAGTTGGTATTCCTCCTGTTCTAATACTTTTTTGGAATTCAAATTTTTTAAATAAATTGAACTTGGTTATACATTACAAAGTCTAGAAACTGCCTTAAAACAATAACAACTTCATCATCAGCAAGACCCTCCCAATCCCCTTTTATGTTAACCTTAACTGCATCTGCCTGTGAGCCCCCAGCTTTCCAGGACTCTGTAGCTTCTCTCAGCAGATAGGCTTCTTCCATGGCTGCAGTGAGAAGGCTGGGACATCTGCAGGAGAGACTCCCCAGAAAAAACTAACAAGGCCGTTATTAAATTTCTTCTGCAGGCTCAATATTAGCCTTAGCTCTGAGTCACTGGGACCAAGCTCTAATTTCCATGTTAAGAGTTATTCACTTGGTTGTTGAAATTAAGTGTCTGAAAAATCCAGCAAAATGCAGTGTTCATATAAGGGAAGGGAATTTTAAGGTGCTTACATTTTATACCTCAATAAGAAAAGCAAAAGTATCAGGCCGGGCATGGTGGCTCATGCTTGTAATTCCAGCACTTCGGGAGGCCAAGGCGGGCAGATCGCGAGGTTAGGAGTTTGAGACCAGCCTGACCAACATAGTGAAACCCCGCCTCTACTAAAAGTACAAAAATTAGCCGGGCATAGTGGTGCGCCTCTAATCGCAGCTACTCAGGAGGCTGAGGCAGGAGAATCACTTGAACCCGGGAGGCGGAGGTTGCAGTGAGCCAAGATGGTGCCATTGCCCTCCAGCCTGGGTGACAGAACCAGACTCCGTGTGGGGAAAAAAAAAAAAAAGCAAAAGTATCTATTTCTTTCAGACAATAAACGTATTACTTTATTAATTCCATTTAAAATTATTTTGTAAACAATGAGTCATATGGGAGCACTTCTAAACAGTACCGAGTTTCATCTCATAAAATTTAGCATAAAACTCAAAAATCAATGTAACAGGATCTGAACACAGATATTCACTGTCACAAATTTACCCTGAAAAAAAAGAAACTGATGTTTTAATGAATCTATGTAACTCACCAATTATCCACCACATTTTCTTGTGGAAATGTATTCATTTTCCAAAACTAAAATTGAGAGATTTTGCCTGGGAGCATTCTAAAAGCTAAGCCTTGAAATTCTGTTTGAAATCACTCAGCCATAAAAAAAACACACCTGAGAAAATTCCTAACTCACTCTGGGAAAAACAGTAAATGAGAATTTTTAACAAATTTTTGACAAATGAAATACATGATCAGACATTTTTTTCTGAAACCCACCTCTTTCATGACCTTTGTAAATATTTTTCTACCTTTCAAGCCCTACTAATATAATGCAATTTACAGCTAAAAAACTGAGGTCAAAATAAGTGACAAATATCTTCAAGGTGACAAACCCAGGTAGTGGCAGTGCTGATTAAATAACAGATGTGTCTGACTCATGTTTCAAGTCAGGTCATTCAATCACTGGAGAGATTCTTCCACCCACTCCTGCTCACTTATGTGCTCAAGAACCACCCACTCAGAAGACACTGCATTATGCCCCAGTGACTGCCCCAGGTGCATTTTACTTTGCAAGCTCTTACACCATCTCACTGGGGTCAGTTCTGTTGTTGTTTGTCTTTTGGAATACTTTTTGGTAACAAAATTTTCACTTTTTTTTCCAATATTTTTCTTTATATTTATTTCACTATTTTTCTGCCCCCCTTAGATGATCCAGGGAGCAGAAATTATTTTTGTGTTTCCCCTCAATACCAGCATCTGATTGGCTGACCAGCAACGTGTCTCCAAGAAATGAAAGCTGGGTTGGGTGAAGACAATTTTAATGTCTCAAGGGGTTACCTTTTCAAAATAAGACTGCACCAGAAGACTCCTCTCAGCCCCAGGGCATCCACTTGCTCCCTTGAGAGGACACATTCCATACCTCGGGTCATCCTACGGGAGAAAATAAACCAGAAGCTGACATTCACTAGGCACTTTAGCTGACAGAACCATGGCGGATATCTCGGTTTATCCACAGATAGTACTGAAACCCAGGACCAGGAAAAAACTAAAGGGTGGCTGAGGACACATCACCCCATAGATTTTTCCAAATCAAAACCTTGACCCAAAAACATTCTGATAAATCTCTGTGCCTAGAGAAGGTAAAAGGAAAAGAGACACAGAGATTTTCTACAATACAGTGTCAGAGGATTAGTCTTTGTTTCCTTTTCGTGGGAAATATTTACAAGCGGATAACACATCTTCTTAAAAGCGCCATTTAATGCTTTGTCAAAAACAATTAATTAAAATATGGTATAAACAAGTACACTAAAGGACAAATAGGTGATAATGTGAATTAGGAAGGAAAAGTTGACATTTGGGAACGCCAGAAGAAATTGGAAATTTAGTATCTTACTGCAAGCCAGAGTGAGGCTGGAGAAATGGGGGACGGGGGTTAGACTTAACAACCTGCTTGGGACACAGGTGAAAAATGCAGCAGAAAATCAGTTCCCCGTGGAGTGTGAAAATAATTAAGAGACAGGCAATTCCACTGAGGTGTCTCTAGTCCCTGGGTTCCTACTTAAAAAAAAAAAAAATCTAACTCAGGTGCATTTTTTTTTTAATTACTACATTCAGAGAAAATGTAGGCTTAAACAACTATAAACTGTTAATTAACCTCTGATTACACAACCAGGAAATCTTCACCTGTATTGTACAAATCAAGAAACTACGTTACTGTAACCAATTACTAAATTTAGTTTTCTTCATCATACATTTTATAAATGACTTTCCTTCAAGCCTCTCCCATAGACAACAAACTACAAACCATAGCTGGATACTCTATGATTCTTGAATCACTGTTTGATTAAATTCTTTAGGCCAGGCGCGGTGGCTCACGCCTGTAATCCCAGCACTTTAGGAGGCCAAGGCGGGCGGATCACGAGGTCAGGAGTTCAAGACCAGCCTGGCCAACGAGGTGAAACCCCGTCCCAACTAAAAATACAAAAAAATAAGGCCGGCCCAGTGACAGGCGCCTGTAATCCCAGTTACTCGGGAGGCTGAGCCAGGAGAATCTCCAGAACCCGGGAGGCGGAGGTTGCAGTGAGGGGAGATCGCGCCACTAAACCCTAGCCTGGGCGACAGAGCGACTCCGTCTCAAACAAACAAAAAAATCGTTAATATTTGTGCAGTGACTCCCATACATTTTTAATAGGAGAAAAGAGGAACTGGGAAAGCCACGGACCAAAGATCTTCCCATTCATGAACCCGCACCCCGAGTCAGGATTTTCCCCTGACGACCCTCCCGTGGTCCCTGCACAATCTGAGAGAGACGCGGCGCTGCGGGTGCAGAGCTGCCAAGAGAGGGCTCCAGGCCAAGGCACAGTCACTACGCAGGGAAGAGAAAGGACGCCTGGGGTCCTGGCTGTCAGCGCAGCCGCCATCTTATGGCCGAAGGGGACGGAGGCCGAGCTGGGCAAGGCGCAGATTGTGAAGCTGACTGCGGAGAGGCCTGAGTCCCGCCACAGCTACTTCCCACCAGTTCCAACCAGCCCTTTCGCCGTCTCTCGGGATGTCGGACCGGGCACTCTCACCATTTCTAGGCTTCTAGGGGGTCCTGGCGTCTTAGCTGTGGATCTCCCAATATCTGCAGGTCAGAGGGCCACACAGGCTAGGCCCCTAGGAGCAGAAGACACAGAGAAGTGAGAGCAAAACCTGGAGCTCCGGCTACAGCGAGAGACAAAGACCCCGCCAAACCCGGAAGCCGTCCAGTCCGCTCCAGCTGCATGCCTGATTGGACGGTTTCCAGCCCAGCGTCCCTGGTTGGATAATGCTTAAATCCCCGCCCTGTCAGGCTTTGAGTGACAGAAGATGTGATCAGATGCGGGTTCAATGAAGAAAGAGTGACAGCCTAGACTGCCCCCTCTTCTGACAGGGCTTCCTCCCTCAGCTGAGCTAGGCCCATCCCAGAGAGTATTTGCCTTTAAATTTGTGTATAAGGTCATATGTATAAATAAATAATACATTATATAGCTATACACAAGTGAAAAGAATATAACAATTATTTTAAAATTTCAGCTTTTATGACCTTCCTGGCTTCTGGCCCTTTGAGCAGGCAGCCTGAGATTTTAGAAAAGAGAAAATCATCTAAAATGAATGTCAGCCACATGTGGATTTGAAATTTTCTAGTAGCCAAACTTTAAAAAGAAACAAGTTGAACTGATTGTTAACAATGTAATTCACCCATTATATTCAAAATATTATCATTTTAATGTGTGAGAAATATGTAATTATTGATAAAATATATAAATATTTGGAACTAAATCTTTGAAGCTGACTTTGTATTTTACCTTTCTAGCATATCGCATTTCAGACCAGGCACATTGTGGGAACCCAGTAGCCACACATGGACAATAGCTGTCACATTGAAGTGCAGCTCTGATGTCAGCGGTGTGAAGGGCCTGAACATCTCTTTCCTGCGAGAGTGAAAGAAGAGACTCTCCCTACAAACATCTCTCTTTGGTTCCTAGGGTGGACCAGATAGTTCCCATAGAAAGAGCTGAGGGCAGTAGGAATAAAATAGCCACAGGTAATAAACAACTGCTGGCCACCTGTTGCCCACCTTTCTTTTAGAGACCAGATAGTGAACAAAGGATGATGGGGCCACAGGAGAAAAAACAACTATGTCTTCAGTTCTGTCCACACACTTGAACTCCAGTATTTAGAGATGGAGAAAATAGATTAAAAACAAACATAGTTTGCTATATGGTCTTGGCCCTAACAATCAGGCTGTGTTTATCTGTTTTCTCCTGTGGTGTGGGGGACTATGTGAGTCTAAGCACCAATCACACGCATACATGTCTACAGGTATTTCTGCATTACCCAAAATTCTCTTACAAAACATCGAACTTTAAATCAGGGGAAGAAATCAGTACCTAGAGGGTGTCCACTGTTAGAAGCCAACTCTTAGTCAACCTGTCACTGAATCCTGGCAACTTATCTGTACTGGGTGCATGTATTAGTTAGCTATTGAGGCATAACAAATCATCCAAAACTTATTAGTTTATAATTGAAATGGTTGGCCATTTAGGCCGAGCTGAGTGGGGCCATTCTTCTGGTCTCAGCTGAGCTCCTTCAGACATGTATCATCACCTGCTTTTTGACTAGACAGCTGTGCATCTGGGGGTGAGCTTCTGCTCCTGGGTCTGTCAACAGGGGCACCTTGCTTCTCCTCTTCATGGTATCTTATTTTCCAGCTGGCTAACATGGGCATTATTCATGGAGATGGCAGCATTCTAAAAGAAAAAGAGAAGCAGTCAATACCATTTGAGCCTGGGCCCCAAACTGGCCCACTGTCATGTTCACAGGTTTCTGTTGACCTGAGCAAATAAGGTCAGCCAGATATAGGGCTTTGAAAACAGATTCCAGATCTTGATGGAAACAGCTGTAAAAGCACCTGGTTATGGGCAAAGATACAAGAGGGATGAAAAAATGTCATTTTGCAATCAGTATCATTCTACCTTTTTTGCATATGTGGTATATAGAACTCTTCCACATCAGGAAACTTGTGCAAAGTCCTACGGCTACTAAGTGGCTGGGCTGAGACTCAGGATCAACTTTATCTGACTCCAAAGCCCATGCACCTCCATAGATGACACTACTAAAGTAGCTGCCCTGCCCTAGACTATTGAAATCCTGGAGAGTGACACTTCCATAGTAGAAGTCAGATTCCTTTTAGATTTGTGCTCATTTGGGAATAATCCTCACAAAAATTGCAGAAGCACACGGTGGCTCTCACCTGTATTTTTAGTACTTTGGGAGGCTGATATGGGAGATTTATGTGAGCTTAGGAGTTCCAATGCAGCCTGATCAACATAATAAGATTCTGTTTCCATGACAAAAATGAAGAAATTAGCCACCCATGGTGGTGCATGCCTATAGTCCCAGATACTTAGGTGGCCGAGGCAGGAGGATTGCTTAAGCCTGGAAAGTCAAGGCTGCAGTGAGCTATGAGTAGTTACACCACTGCAATCAAGACTGGGTGACAGAGTGAGTCCCTGTCTCAAAAAAAAAAAAAGAAAGAAAAAAATTGGAGAAGCATTTTGAAAAGATATAAAATAATTTGGGGAAATAACTGAAGGATGAGTTTAGAAAATCAAAGACCAACAACACATTATTTATTTTTCATCATAGAAAATAGTTGAAATCCATTAAAAGGAAAAATCTTTAGAGAAATTAATAAATTTTTTAAATTTATTTTTTATTTTTGAGATGGAGTCTCGCTCTGTCACCCAGGCTGGAGCACAGCAGTGCGATCTTGGCTCACTGCAACCTCGGCCTCCCCAGTTCAAGCGATTCTCCTGCCTCAGCCTTCTGAGTACCTGGATTATAGGCATCCGCCACCACGACCAGCTAATTTTTGTATTTTTAGTAGAGACGGGGTTTTACCATGTTGGTCAGGCTGCTCTCGAATTCCTGACCTCGTGATCTGCCCACCTTGTCCTCCCAAAGTGCTGGGATTACAGGCGTGAGCAGCAGAGTCCAATTGAGCATGGAATGATTTGCAGATTGGGTAGCCTGTGGATCCAGAGTAGGCGCAGAGAGACTCTAGCACAGCCACATGATGAAAACAGATTGATAGACAGCAAAAGCAAAGTGACATACAGAAAATGAAAGTGAGGTACAGAAACAGCCAGATTGATTACAGGTTGGGATTTGCCTTATTTAATCATGATTTGAACACTTGATGTTCTTTTATTGGCAGAAGCACAGTGGTTGGTACAATAATGGGTTACAGTCTATTTATATATCCAGTTAGGTTTCAGTTTACTATGTACAAAAAAACCTAGTGACCAAAGTTAAACAGGAAAGGGTGCAGCTTTAGAGATAATTAATTTAACAATTTCTCCCTTTTGGTCACGTTCTCAATTTTGAGAGATAGACCAAAACTTTAGACATTGATATTACTCTGTCACCATCAAAAGTGTACTTATTTAGTCTCAAATCCCACTATGAAATAGCAGAACTGTGGGTTTTAAAAGTGGAAACAAGGACTTCACGTTATTTGTTTTTTAGGGTTGCAGTAGAGGGGACCATCTTGTATCGAAATCTGCTGTTTCCAAAATAAAAATAAAACCTACCCTGTTTTAAGATCTACCTATTTACTTAAATTTTTAATTTGATTATTTCACATTTAGCATGAGTGACTCCATTTACTTTGATTTGGTCTGTTTGGGCCTAGTGCACAAGGTCAGTCCAGAATAATGGCCTCCAATAATTTTGTTTAAAAATTTTCCACCTTTTGGTTAAGTTCTCAAATAGGTCAGAGTGTGACTAAAACTCAGGGTCTTAGTGTCACTCTCAGTTTCTATTATTTTTGGTTTTTGTTTTTATCAGTTCATTCATAGGTTATGGTGTCCTCATGGTCACGTATGTATTTGACTTTTTGTGGTTCCAGTTAAAGAGAGACTATTTCACATTCTAGAGATAACTGCATGCAAACTTCAATAACTTTTGAGAGAATACAGTGCAGTAGGGAGACTACTATTTTGACTATCTGGGGGTAATAACCAAAAGTTTCAAGTATGCTTTTTAGTCAGGGTCCCATGAACCCACCAACTAAAATTAAATAGATCAAATAATTAGCTACATAAATGTTCTCCTCATTTCAAACAAGCAGCCTATTCACTAATCTCCTACAACTGAATCTCTGTAATACCTGGTGAATTTCTCTATGTGCAACTATAAGTATTAGCAACTTCACAGATACTTCTCTGTTTATCCAGTAAATAATCTAGAGAAATTCTATTATTTACCACAATTTTACTAAGAAAAATTAAAGTCTATTGTGTAACCATAGCCTTTACAATAGAATTTGCTATAGAGCCCTATTATGGGGAATAAATTTCTTTTTTTCTTTTTTTCTTTTTTTTTTCCGAGACAGAGTCTCACTCTGTTGCCCAGGCTGGAGTGCAGTGGCATGATCTCAGCTCACTGCAACCTCTGCCTCCAGGTTCAAGCGATTCTTCTGCCTCAGCCTCCCCAGTAGCTGGCATTACAGGCACACGCCACCACGCCCTACTAATTTTTGTATTTTTAGTAGAGATGGGGTTTCACCATGTCGGCCAGGCTGGTCTCAAACTCCTGACCTGGTGATCTGCCTGCCTCGGCCTCCCAAAGTGCTGAGATTACAGGCATGAGACACTGCGCCAGCATAGGGAATAAATTTTTAACCATTGCCTCATTTACTCTAAACCATGGGGGAAAAAAAGACCTAACAAGTGATACCCATTAAGAAGAGTACTGGCCTCCTGGCAACACTCTGTAATCTATTCTGAATAAGTTCTCTTTAACTTATAAGGTAGGTTAAGAGCAGTGGACAAATATTCCATTTTTGATATTATGAGGCAACAGATGTCCTATTAAAAATTCTCACCAGGCCGGGTGCAGTGGCTCACGCCTGTAATCTCAGCACTTTGGGAGGCTGAGGCGGGCAGATCACGAGGTCAGGAGATCGAGACCATCACGGCCAACATGGTGAAACCCTGTCTCTACTAAAAATACAAAACTTAGCTGGGTGTGATGGCATGTGCCTGTAATCCCAGCTATTCAGCAGGCTGAGGCAGGAGAATCATTTGAACCATGGAGTCGGAGGTTGCAGTGAGCTGAGATCACACCACTGCACTCCAGCCTGGGCAACAGAGTGAGACTCCATCTCAAAAAAAAAAAAAAATCTCTCCCATATTGGCCCTTCGTCTTTTACCTATCAAGGCATAAGTTTGCCCATATAGAAGGTTGGCTGCAAAATCATTTTCATGTAAAAGTGTAGCTCATGAAGGCACACAAGTGACCCCTTTTTTATTTCTGTCATTTGGAGAGCCATAAGAAAAAAACAGTGGACTAAGAGTGTCGTAATAGCAGAGATGTCTTTCTTGATTTTTTTATCTTGTTAAAAAAAAAGCTATCTATGTTAATGTTACCATCTGCTTTTGAGGAGAAGCTTCCCTGCTTAGCTTTACTTTAAGATCTCCAATGGGTATACAATTGCAAGTTTGGAGGGGCCCTTCTGAGTCATGAGATTATCAAACCAAGGTTTAAAGTCCTGAAGTCTTGCTGCAGTGTAGATGGCAGGCAGACTCAATCTCTCTGGTTTCTAAATTATAAAGGGTTTTATAGTATTCCATCAGTAAACCATTAAAAGCATTCTTTACCTAGTGAAAATATGCTTTGCCGTAATGCATTAAAGCTTTGCTGCATTTAGTCATATTAGACTTCAGTAGCAGAAGATACATGAGGTTCTTTTATCAGGTGCATAAGCCTTCCAATGACTATTTTACAATCGTCAACACATTTTTTCACTCTCAGTTAACCTGATTGTCATCAATCTGCAACTACAAAAGCAATTCTGTCAATTTAGTTAACTTTGCTCAATATTACTGTTTCTGTAATACCTTATTTAACAGTTTTATAACATGTCTAGTAAAATAAGTATCCCTATTATTGGAGACTTTTTAAGAAATGTTTCACGAGCAAAACATATTTCCTAATATTATTTTGGCTACTGTTATAACATCAAACTTTTTGCATGAGAAAACTTTTTTTTTTTTTTGAGATGGAGTTTTGCTCATGTTGCCCAGGCTAGAGTGCAATGGCACGATCTCGGCTCACCACAACCTCTGCCTCCTGGGTTCAAGCGATTCTCCTGCCTCAGTCTCCCAAGTAACTGGGATTGCAGGTATGTGCCACCATGCCCTGCTAATTTTGTATTTTTAGTAGAGACAGGGTTTCTCCATGTTGGTCAGGCTGGTCTTGAACTCCCGACCTCAGGTGATCCACCCACCTCGGCCTCCCAAAGTACTGGGATTACAGGCGTGAGCCACCATGCCCGGCCTGAGAAAACTTTTATTCTACAGACATGAATTAAAAATGACAATTAAATAAAATTTCTTTCCTTTTTTTTTTTTTTTAAAGCAGAACCTCGCTCTGTCACCCAGGCTGCAGTGCAGTGGCATAATCTCAGCTCACTGCAACCTCTGCCTCCTGGGTTCAAGCGATTCTCCTGCCTCAGCCTCCTGAGTAGCTGGGATTACAGGTGGGTGCCACCATGTCCAGCTATTTTGTATTTTTAGTAGAGACAGAGTTTCACCATGTTGGCCAGGCTGGTCTCGAACTCCTGACCTCAAGAGATCTACTCACCTCTGCCTCCCAAAGTGCTGGGATTACAGGAGTGAGCCACTGCACCCGGCCTAAAATTTCTTTACAAATGTTTAAATAGCCCATTGGGTAGCAGAAATGTACATGAAGTTTTGATTGTCTTCTCGGGATTCTGTTTGACAAAAAAAAAAAATTGGTCCTAACCTATTTTAGTAATTAGAATAATCACCAAACACACACACACACATACACACACACACACTCAATTTATATTTAGCTTAATTTATTTTTTATCTCTTCTGTGATGAGTAATTAAATGCAGTGATTTTGATAGAGGAAACTTTAAGAACTCAGAAATAAACAAGTGGCTGTTGGCTGTCTAGGTTCTCCATGAGTCCACACACAACATTAAATTTATGTCCTCTTCAATATCTGGTTTGTTTCTTCAATTCAGGTGCATAGCACTGATAACTGAGAAGTTATCATACATAATTTGACTTGTACCACAGAGTTTATTCAAACGGCATATCTAAAACAATTTTAGTACTGGCTAATTTAGTATAAAAATGTGGTAGAGTATTTTCATGATGTTCAATTAATTTTTGTTTTGCCTGGATTAGTAGTTTCATAAGAGTCATTCTCTTCATTAGAATTCTCACAATTCTTACCCAGTCTAAACAGTTTGATTGTAAAATTATCAGAAACTTGTACTCAACTTGTCTGGGTCCTTTCCATCTTTTCATAAAACTATGCTAAAATTAATTCATTAACTGTGGAAATAACTTAAAATAGTTATAAAGAAACAAATGAAAAAATTGATTTTATCTGTGTCCTACAATAACCTATCATAATAACCATAATTATGACTAATAGCATATACTCAGAAATTTCATACAATTTTCAAATAAATGCTAATAGCACTTATTAAAATATAAGTTGAAGGTCAGACATCATTTTTAATGTTATGATGCCTTCCATGTAACTTAACATATCAAATAATTCTGATGATTACTCTTCTGGATGTTGCATTAGCCCTCTGCAGCATCTAAAAGTTAAGGGTCAAAGAAAAGACAATTATTAAGCGGAAATTTCATTCTGGAAAACCTGTCAAATATGTCAAAGGGTTAAAACACTTGACCAGATATATAAAAATTGGCTCTCCCTCTCCCTCTCCCTCTCCCTCTCCCTCTCCATCACCCTGTCCCTCTCCCCACGGTCTCCCTCTCCCTCTCTTTCCACGGTCTCCCTCTGATGCCGAGCCAAAGCTGGACTGTACTGCTGCCATCTCGGCTCACTGCAACCTCCCTGCCTGATTCTCCTGCCTCAGCCTGCCGAGTGCCTGCGATTGCAGGCGCGCGCCGCCACACCTGACTGTTTTTCATATTTTTTTGGTGGAGACGGGGTTTCGCTGTGTTGGCCGGGCTGGTCTCCAGCTCCTAACCGTGAGTGATCCGCCAGCCTCGGCCTCCCGAGGTGCCGGGATTGCAGACGGAGTCTCGTTCACTCAGTGCTCAATGGTGCCCAGGCTGGGGTGCAGTGGCATGATCTCGGCTCGCTACAACCTCCACCTCCCAGCCGCCTGCCTTGGCCTCCCAAAGTGCCGAGATTGCAGCCTCTACCCGGCCACCACCCCGTCTGGGAAGTGAGGAGCGTCTCTGCCTGGCCGCCCATCGTCTGGGATGTGAGGAGCCCCTCTGCCTGGCTGCCCAGTCTGGAAAGTGAGGAGCATCTCTGCCCGGCCGCCATCCTGTCTAGGAAGTGAGGAACGTCTCTGCCCGGCCGCCCATCGTCTGGGATGAAGTGAGAAGCGTCTCTGCCCGGCTGCCCATCGTCTGAGATGTGGGGAGCGCCTCTGCCCCGCCGCCCCGTCTGGGATGTGAGGAGTGCCTCTGCCCGGCCGCGACCCCGTCTGGGAGGTGAGGAGCGTCTCTGCCCGGCCGCCCCGTCTGAGAAGTGAAGAGACCCTCCGCCCGGCAGCCGCCCCATCTGGGAAGTGAGGAGCGTCTCCGCCCAGCAGCCACCCCGTCCGGGAGGGAGGTGGGGGGGGTCAGCTCCCTGCCCGGCCAGCCGTGCCATCCAGGAGGTGAGGGGCACCTCTGCCCGGCCGCCCCTACTGGGAAGTGAGGAGCCCCTCTGCCCGGCCACCACCCCGTCTGGGAGGTGTACCCAACAGCTCATTGAGAACGGGCCATGATGACAATGGCGGTTTTGTGGAATAGAAAAGGGGGAAAGGTGGGGAAAAGATTGAGAAATCGGATGGTTGCCGTGTCTGTGTAGAAAGAGGTAGACATGGGAGACTTTTCATTTTGTTCTGTACTAAGAAAAATTCTTCTGCCTTGGGATCCTGTTGATCTATGACCTTACCCCCAACCCTGTGCTCTCTGAAACATGTGCTGTGTCCACTCAGGGTTAAATGGATTAAGGGCGGTGCAAGATGTGCTTTGTTAAACAGATGCTTGAAGGCAGCAGGCTCGTTAAGAGTCATCACCACTCCCTAGTCTCAAGTACCCAGGGACACAAACACTGCGGAAGGCCGCAGGGTCCTCTGCCTAGGAAAACCAGAGACCTTTGTTCACTTGTTTATCTGCTGACCTTCCCTCCACTATTGTCCTATGACCCTGCCAAATCCCCCTCTGCGAGAAACACCCAAGAATGATCAATAAAGAAAAAAAAAAAAGAAAAAAAAAAAAAACACTTGACCAAAATAGAACCACAAGTTCTCATAAAATAATAGTCACTTATTTAGCCAAAGTGATAATTAAAAGATTAAAAAAAAAAACCACCAAAATCTTGGGCTGGGTGCAGTGGTTCATGCCTGTAATCCCAGCACTTTGGGAGGCCAAGGCAGGTGGACCACAAGGTCAGGAGTTTGAGACCAGCCTGGCCAATATGGTGAAACCCCATCTCTACTAAAAATACCACAATTAGCCAGGAGTGGTGGTGGGTGCCTGTAATCCCAGCACTTTGGGAGGCCAAGGCAGGTGGACCACAAGGTCAGGAGTTTGAGACCAGCCTGGCCAATATGGTGAAACCCCATCTCTACTAAAAATACCACAATTAGCCAGGAGTGGTGGTGGGTGCCTGTAATCCCAGCTACTTGGGAGGCTGAGGCAGGAAAATCGCTTGAACCTGGGAGGTGGAGATTGCACCACTGCACTCCAGCGTGGGTGACAGAGTGAGACTCCCGCCTCAGAAAAAAATAAAATAAATAATCTTTTATTGTTTGATACAGGAGATTCAGTTTTTCAATCAAAAGACCTGAAAAAGCCAGCATGAGAAAAGTCCTATTTTTTCTGTTTTTCCTTTTCAATTTATTCAGAAGATGAACAAAAATATTTTCCTGTGTCATATTAATAATACATACACTTTTTGTTCAGGATTAAATCAGCTTTTACATTTTTGGAGCCTCTGATGTTAAATCCTTGATGGCAAAAGGAGATTGATCTGACTCAAACATGGACCTCTGTGGTTCCTCTTTCTACAATAAACATGAGTCTCAAAAAGAGGCCACAAATAGGTCAAAGTCTCCTAAAACACAAACTTAAAACTTTTACAGTAATAATAACATCACTATTGAAACATGCAAACAACCACAAAAGATACAAGTATAAGACATTTACAGGATAGCCTCAAATATAGTATCTGAAAATATTACAGAAGGCATGGAAATTTTAATTAAAAATAAAAATTCTTTATTTTAAAGTTATAAAAATGTGAAATCTTATCATTATGAATAAATCCACAGTCAGAATGGTGGCATGAAGACCCCAGGGCACAGCTGCTATGTTTGGAAGTTTAGTCCTGTGCCTTTGAAGACCTCCCAAAACCCTTGCCCAAAATTGCAGCCAAGAGCGCCTTCCAGGGAGCACATAAGAACCCCCACAATCCCAGATGCTAGCTTGGAAACAGGACCCTGTTCCTGGAAAAAGAAGCTGCCTGTAGAAACATGGGGAGCTGCTGAAATCCTGACCCTTACACTATTTCCTCTGCCTGATCTCATTGCAGGTGGCCATGTTCCCCTGGCAGTGGCAGCAGCAGGCTCCAGGCTGGGCAAAGGGTGGGAGCAGGCAAAAGATGTGCGTACAGCCCTCACGATGAGTGGGTACTGTTAGTGGCATTTCTGGGGCAGAGCCTGGCCCCATGGGAAACTTCAGCAAACTCAAGGGTCTGTGTCCTGCATAACCTGCTGTGTTCCCTTGTGGCTCCCCCCATATCAGGGACCAGCAGCAGCCATGGGCCTGCTGGCTGAGGCCCCACTGGCTACCCCTTCACTGCCTTCATTTATTCCAGCCTCTTAGAGCTTCAGGGCTGAAGAAAGTGGATGTGGCAAATGCTACGTGGTACAGTATACATTATTTACTCTCTGCTTTCTTATAAAAAGTTTGCCAATACCTGTTCTTGAGAAGTCATTAAAAAAAAACCCTCTATATTCTTAGAGTTATATTTAATAAAGTAAATTTTTAAAAAATGTTTCACTTGAAATAAACTTTTTTGGGTAAAGGTAAAACTGTGTCCATTACTCTCAGTCATCTTGGTTAGAATAAACCCTGAGACACCAAGCATCCAATTATTAATGCCCTGGAAATGGGAATCCACCTGCTGCCTTTTTTTCTGTAACAAATATCAAATTAGTTCAACTAGAATATGTCACTCATTAAAATTAGCATCAAACTAGACCATCTGACAGAGATTTTTTCCTGCCTTAAAATGGGGTATCTTAAGCTATAAAAACATATACTTTGAATCTTGGTTTGTAGACATCCCTCGTGACTATGGCAGTGTTTCTGATCAAGGGAGCCTCCACGGGAATGCAACCCTAAGTGGTTCTTTAACTCTCCCACAGCTGGTTATTTAGAATCCTCACATTTTGGGTAAATACCGTAATTTTAGGCTCATTGAAATTTAAACTCTTGAATCTTTTCAGTGCCAGACTTTGTATCTATATTTTACGAACTTTAGTCCTTTTACTCTGGGCATTTACAAGCAGGCAAATTTTGTCAGAGAAAAAACAGCCATATTTTAGCTAAATACACATTGTCAACATGGCAAACAGCAAAAGGCTTACTTTTAAGGTATTTTGGTGTGACTTGCTTAGTGAATCTAATAAAATAGAAGCCTATCTAAGTAATGAATTCAGGGGTAGTTCAACCAGAATTTTTATATATGTACAAATGTTTCTGGTAAAGCAAAGATATTTTAGAGTAACTTACAGACATTTAAGAATATTGGGCTTGAGCCTGGGCGCAGTGGCTCACGCCTGTAATCCCAGCACTTTGGGAGGCCGAGGCGGCCGGATCACCTGAGGTCGGGAGTTCAAGACCAGCCTGGCCAACAACATGGTGAAACTCCGTCTCTAGAAAAATACAAAAATTAGCCAGGCATGGTGGTGGGTGCCTGTAATCCCAGCTACTCTGGAGGCTGAGGCAGGAGAATCGCTTGAACCCGGGAGAGGGAGGTTGTGGTGAGCCGAGATTGTGCCATTGCACTCCAGCTTGGGCAATAAGAGCAAAACTCCATCTCAAAAAAAAAAAAAAAAGAATATTAGGTTTGTATAATTTTTTCTTATATTGTTTTATCTTTAGATTTTTAGTGGTTTGATTATGATATGCCTAAGATGTGCTTTAATTTGTATTTTCCTTGTCAGGTTGTTAATCTTCTTAGATCAACATAATAAGGTTTTACCAATTGCTAAAGTTTTCAGCTATTAGTTGTTGATGTACTTTTCTATCCCATGTAATTTTTTTTCTTGTTTTTTGTTTGTATATTTGTTTGTTTGTTTGTGACAGAATCTCCCTCTGTCACCCAGGCTGCAGTGCTGTGGTGAGATCTTGGCTCACTGCAACCTCTGCCTCCCGGGTTCAAGTGAGTCTCATACCTCAGCCTCCCAAGTAGCTGGGATTACAGAGGCCCGCGACCACGCCCAGCTAATTTTTGTATTTTTAGTAGAGACGGGGTTTTGCCATATTGGCCAGGCTGGTCCTCGAACTCCTGACCTCAGGTGATCTGCCCACCTCAGCCTCCCAGAGTGCTGGGATTACAGGCATGAGCCACCTGAGATACTCTGTCTCAAAAAAAAAAAAAAAAAAAAAAAAAAAAAAAAAAAAGATTGCAGGCCGGGCGTTGGGGCTCAGGCCTGTAATCCCAGCACTTTGGGAGGCCGAGGCAGGTGGATCACTTGAGGCCAGGAGTTCGAGATCAGCCTAGCCAACATGGTGAAACCCTGTCTCTACTAAAAAATAATAATAATAATAATACAAAAATTAGCTGAATGTGGAGGTGTGCACCTGTAATCTCAGCAACTTGGGAGGCTGGTGAAAGAGAATGGCTTGTACCCGGGAGGGGGAGGTTGCAGTGAGCCTAGATCACGCCATTGCACTCCAGCCTGGGCAACAGAGTGAGACTCTGTCTCAAAAAAAAAAAAAAATTACATACCATAATCAAGTAATATTTTTTCACAAAATAAGTGTTGGCTTAATATTTAATAAATATTCTCTAACATATTACAAAATATTATTTGCCCCCATTTTCTGCATCTGCTCACCCTGTTCAGAACCCAAGGTGCCATGCTGCTTCTGCATCTCTAAGAAGCCAGGTGCCCGACCATGAGAACTAGGAGGAAGGGAGTTGAAGGAGCCAGAATAGGAGGCGTGCTGTGGAAGCAGGAGTGACCAGACCTCCAGGCACAGGATACCCAGGACAGAGGGGACAGCAGGGCTGGGAGCTCCATGGGTCAGGCAATAACAGGTGCCAGAAGTTGCCACCATTTCACACCTCAGGCAGGGGCACTGGGGCAAATCTGAAGGCACTCACGGACTGGGTGCTCCAGAAATGGACAAAGCAGTAGCTCCAGCTTGGCATTGCATGGCCATTATCATGACCAAACAATGGGGAGAAAAACTGACTCTCCAACAAATGGTTCAGAAAACTCAATATTTAAATTAAAAAAAAAAAAAAAAAGCTCTCTTTCTCTGAACATTATACAGAAAAAGCCTATGTATGCAAAGCAGGAACTAGAAGTAATATTTGCACACCCATGGTTATAACAGTATTATAAGAGCCCCAATATATATATGACTGATGCTGCCATCTGTGTCCTCACAGTGATGCAATGACAGCATCCTGTGTACACACACAGAGCTAATACCATGAATTCACTCACTGAGCCCATGACTTAATCTGAAACCTAGACAACTGGTACTGAAATTCTCCCCGCTCAGTGAATCCATAGGGAATCACTTGACTTTAATATCTTGTTGGGTTTGGGTTTGCATGCAATAGCTTAAGAAGTCTTTTTTTTTTTTTTTTTTTCTTTTTGCTATTTCATAGGACTTTTTCAGAATGTGGAAAACAAAAACAAATCCAGAAGACTTTCCCACTGTCTGCTACCTTTGCCCCAGACTATCTTAAACTTATATGCTTATATTTTATTAAACAAAACAGGTGCTCTCTACAATCTCTGTGATAATTATGAGGTATTTGAAGCAAGATATAAAGAGTGGTTTCATGTTTTAACTTAATCTTTTTTGAGGTTGGAATGGTTCACTTTAATGAAAGATTTTTTGTTTTAATGTTCTCTGTTGTTTTAAAATGTGAACTTGTGCACACATGTGCAGACTCAATGTTCTTGCTAAAAACATAAACTACATAATTAATATAAACAACATAATACACATAATTAATAAATATATAAACAACATAATAAATAAATACTAATATAAAGATTCTTATAGTCACTAGGCCTTCTTTTTTTCTTTTCTTTTTTTTCTCTTTTTTTTTTTTTTGTTTTTGAGACGGAGTTTCGCTCTGTCGCCCAGGCTGGAGTGCAGTGGTGCGACCTTGGCTCACTGCAATCTCCGCCTCAAGGGTTGAAGCGATTCTCCCGCCTCAACCTCCTGAGTAGCTAGGATTACAGGTGCCTGCCACCATGCATGGCTAATTTTTGTATTTTTAGTAGAGACGGAGTTTCACCATATTGGTCAGGCTGGTCTTGAACTGACCTCAGGCGATCTGCCCGCCTCGGCCTCCCAAAGTACTAAGATTACAGGCGTGAGCCACTGCGCCTGGCCTTTCTTTCTTTCTTTTTTTTTTTTTGAGATGGAGTTTTGCTCTTGTTGCCCAGGCTGGAGTGCAATGGCTTGATCTCGGATCACCGAAACCTCCACCTCCTGGGTTCAAGCAATTCTCCTGCCTCAGCCTCCTGAGTAGCTGGGACTACAGGCGCCCACCACCATGCCTGGCTAATTTTGTGTTTTTAGTATTTTGTATATTAGGGGTTTCTCCGTGTTGGTCAGGCTGGTCTCAAACTCCTGAACTCAGGTGTTCGATACAGGCGTGACCCACCATGCCCAGCCACCAGTCCGTGTTATTGTTAAGTGTCAGTGGGCATCAGTTGCTAAAGTTTGTAATACTTGCTGAGTCAGTTCAAGCCATATTTTGTCATCTAATCTCTCATAAGCTGACCCCTTATTTTTGGCATTATTCCTGTTGATTCCTAGTGTTGACCATTGACCTCCACCTATTCAAACTTACTGTGGCCAGTGGACAGAAAGACATTCAGTGCTCTGGACATAGAGTGTTTCACTAATCTTACCTTCCATAATTCAGTCTATAGAAGATTAGAAATAAGGCTTCCTTCCTTATTCAAGAGAATGCTTTCATGTGCACTCTTGATTTTCTGTCAGTAAGGGCAGATAAGTACACACAGTCTTCAGTCATATATATTAAAAAAAAAAAAAAAAAAAACTAGAGGGCGGGCGCAGTGGCTCACGCCTGTAATCGCAGAACTTTGGGAGGCCGAGGCGGGCGGATCACGAGGTCAGGAGATCGAGACCATCCTGACTAACACAGTGAAACCCCGTCTCTACTAAAAATACAAAAAATTAGCCGGGCGTGGTGGTGGGCACCTGTAGTCCCAGCTACTGAGGAGGCTGAGGCAGGAGAATGCTGTGAACCTGGGAGGTGGAGCTCGTAGTGAGCCGAGATCGCACCACTGCACTCCAGCCTGGGCGACAAAGCGAGACTCCATCTCAAAAAAAAAAAAAAAAAAAAAAAAGGAAAAAATTAAAAAAATAAGGCACCCAAGACCATACAAAAATGGGAATTTTCTAAGTCTATACGAAATACATTTCCTATAATTGCTGAGCTTTTATTTATTTATTTATTTTTGAGACGAAGTCTCGCTCTGTCGCCCAGGCTGAAGTGCAATGGTGCGGTCTCAGCTCATTGCAACCTCCGTCTGCCGGGTTCAAGCGATTCTTCTGCCTCAGCCTCCTCAGTAGCTGGGATTACAGGCATGCACCACTGTGCCAGGCTAATTTTTGTATTTTTAGTAGAGATGGGGTTTCACCATGTTGGCCAGGATGGTCTCGATTTCTTGACCTCGTGATCTGCCTGCCTCGGCCTCCCAAAGTGCTGGGATTACAAGTGTGAGCCACCGCGCCCCATCTACAGTACTTTTTTAGAGTAAAATTTGAAATACATAATTATCTCGAGATTAACGTAGAATTTAATAGATTATCTAATAGTCCTGACTAATTTTAGTAGTTCTAGCTCTATTCTTACTGAATTTTATTACCTTATAGTCCCTAAATAAGCCAACTTTAAGAGAAATATAGTAAACTTCCTAGATTTTGAGAAATGTTTGAGTCATTACCTGATGCAAATAATAGACATAGACATGAACGAGTTACAAAAGAGGAATAATATTTTTGATGTGCATAAAAACTTTTTAAAACTGAATCTTTTAGTACTCTCTCTATGTAGATGAGTCTAGGAAACAGAATAGGAACTAATAAATTGCAATTTTCTGCAGTGGAAGATATCTGCAATCACTAGAAGCAACTGAATCAGAAAAGCTGAAATGGCCTGCGGCAACCTCAGAAAGCAAAAAACAGGCTTGTGTGGACAGAATGCATACTCACTAATAGCAGAATGACAGAGAGATTACTTTTTAATGAATATCTGTGACATTAATTCTTTTGCATCAGAACTTGATTTTCATTCTAAACTTTCCCACTATGCAAACATGTATATACAAACAGGCACACACACATCCTCACATTCTTACACTCATGCAAATTCAACCAGATTTTCTGCAGCCAGGATATCTTTAAGTACACCAGATTAAACTAGATAATTTAGGGATTATCTGAACCCACCAGAGCAATTGCTTGTTTACTTTCTCTGTAAATGTAACATCAGTATTTCCTAGATGTCCCACTGATATCTTAATTACAACTTTCTGATAAACTACTAGTGAGAAAGAATTTGAAACAGACCCTTTTTCTAGACATATTTTATGACTCTAAAATTTATTTCTATTATAGAATATAGAAGACATTAACTTATTTGGCAAAAAAGAATCACAAGTCACAAACTTGCAAAAATTAAATTAATGGTGCAGATAAAGTTGTAAAATTAAATTAATGATGCAGATAAAGTTGTTAAATATCTGAAATTACTAGAATTGAATTCCAGAAACCCCTGACATCTAAGTTAATATATCAAAAAGGTTAAATAATTTAAACAATTTATATTCCTGGATAACACCTTGATTTCTAGTGTCTTTAAATTATTAAAAACATTTCAGCCAAGTATGGTGGCTCACACCTGTAATCCCGGCACTTGGGGGGGCTGAGGTAGGTGCATCACCTGAGGTCGGGAGTTGGAGACCAGCCTGACCAACATGGAGAAACCTTGTTTCTACTAAAAATACAAAAAATTAGCCAGGCTTGGTGATGCATGACTGTAATCCCAGCTACTTGGGAGGCTGAGGCAGGAGAATCACTTGAACCTGGGAGGCGGAGATGGTGGTGAGCTGAGATCACGCCATTGCATTCCAGCCTGGGCAACAAGAGCAAAACTCCGTCTCAAAAAAAAAAAAAAAAGAAAAAAAAGATACCATTTCTTTGTAAGTCTGGCTCTGTTTTCAAAGTGAATATTGTTGTAAATCATTTATATTCTTCTCCTCAAATGCTTTACTTCCCATTTTTGTCTTAGGGAATCTGAGCATATCTTGAAAAAAAGGTCTATGGGAACAATGACCCTACCAGAGGTTTCTTATGGTTTCGCACAGTTTTGTGATTAAGGAAGGGAATGATCTTAGCAAAATGGCAGAAACATTGACAATTCAAAACTGATACTGAAAGGCATATTTCCAGGTGGAAATGCAAGACAGAAGTAGAATGATTGAGAATGTGGAAAACAGCACTTGCATAGAATGCTGTTTTGAGCTTTAAGTGTAAAGAATTCCTGCTTTGAATCATTAAGGGATTTTTACGTTATTCATCTGGTGTAAAACACAACACAGATAAAGAGAGTCAGTAAATGGAAGGTTGTTTTTATTTTACCAAAATCTTATATTATTTTCTAATATTAATTTACTTAGTTCCTGACAACTAAATAACTATTTTGTGCAATGAATGGTATTTAATGTTGATGGGTGCAAAGCTTAAGACAAAGAACAAGGAACAAAAATTTCTGCAGCTTGTTACTATTTACAAAGCACAAAATTCAAATGCATTTTTAAATTTAATACTCAAACAACCTTATAAAATTCTTTTTTTTTTTTTTAGACGGAGTCTCACTCTGTCGCCCAGGCTGGAGTGCAGTGGCGTGATCTCCGCTCACTGCAAGCTCCGCCTCCCTGGTTCACGCTATTCTCCTGTCTCAGCCTCCCCAGTAGCTGGGACTACAGGCGCCCACCACCATGCCCAGCTAATTTTTTTTTTGTATTATTAATAGAGGCAAGGTTTCACCATGTTAGCCAGGATGGTCTCGATCTCCTGACCTCATGATCCACCTGCCTCAGCTTCCCAAAGTGATGGGATTACAGGCGGGAGCCACCATGCCCAGCCATAAAATTCTTAATAAACTCTTTATTCTATTTTTTTTTTTCACATGGAGTCTTGCTCTGTCGCCCAGGCTGGAGTGCAGTGGCGTGATCTTGGCAAACTGCAATCTCTGCCTCCCAGGTTCAAGGGATTCTCCTGCCTCAACCACCTGAGTAGCTGAGGTTACAGGCACGTACCACCACACCCAGCTAATTTTTGTATTTTTAGTAGAAACAGGGTTTCACCATGTTGGTCAGGGTGTTCTCAAACTCCTGACCTCATGATACCCCTGCCTCGACCTCCCAAAGTTCTGAGTCTGTTACTGAACTCGATCCCTGGTGGACTGAAGAAAGGAGGGTGAATGTGGAAAGAAAGACAAAGACAAAAGAGTATGTTTGAAAGAAGGGGTCGGGGGCACCTTGTCTCTAGTAGACAAGGGCCCAGATTTTCCACAGCCCTTCGTATTTATTGGTAAAAGAGATAGTGAGAAGGGGGATGGAAGAAGAGGTCATTTGCTCAGTCCAGAGTAGGCCTGCAAGACTGCATTCCTTGAACAATAGGCTCTAGATGTCCCAGTAGATAACCTCAAGGAGCCCAGTGCCAGGGAGTGACCACCCTCAGCAAACCTTCTGGTGGCAGGCGCAGTTGTGAGTTTGCTCACATCCTCCATTCATGACAAACAGCTTGCTGTTTGATCATATGGCCTCTAGTGGAATGCTGAGTTGGTCACAATCCCTTTGGCCTTTTTGGCTCTCAACCTCTCCCACTTTGTGTTTATGTATTAATTAAAACAATGTAAGGCCAGGGTGGGCAGCTCTCATTTTCCAATTGGCGTTCCATCTGATTTTACAGACTGTGAACAGAAGACAGAGACAAAACAACATTATTCCAAGAACTACATACAAGATGTTAGTTAACGTGGTGCTTTAGATAGTTCCAAGGGTTGAGGCTCTCCAGGCCTTGCTGGAATTCAGTCCAGTCTTCTAAAGAAGGCTGAAACTCTTGAGTTTGCCTATTTAAATAAGAATTTTGTTTTGTAATTCACCAATATCAAAGGTGATGTTGGATGTGAAAGCTCCCTGCAAATGGGCTTTCACAAGGCCCCATGGATACTCACTTTGGTTATATTCTAAGTTGGTTACACAAACATGAGTGTGACTAAAATGACAACGCAATTGCTCCTGCAATTGTAAGCTTTGTACTTGTTCTCCTAACCATAGAACCATGAATTTTAACATTGCCACTTCAGTTTGAAACTCAGTGTTAATTTTATTCTGAAGTAGCCATGCTTGGTCAGCTGTGCGCGTCCAGTTCTCCACATACTGAGCAGTTTGAATAGAACTATGCAAAGCTACAGAGGACATCACAACAGAAGTTATTAGTGTGACCAAGGAAACAATAGTGAAAATTATCATGCCTAAGGCTCTATGGACATGATGAGTAAGCTGAGTTAGAAGAAGCTTCACAAAATGCAAAGGAGGTGTGAGAATACAAGGCTTGGACAGACTGACAGGAATCCATAGCCCAGGGATGCGATCTAAAATCATCAAAGTAGAGACACTGTGTGTTTGCAATGTGCTATGATTAATGCAGTGATATAATTGGCAAGATTTACAGGTCAGTTGGGTATTGTTTACCTGGAGCTGGTCCTTCTTAGCTGCCAAAAAAACGTGAAGATTAAAAACACAAACTGTAGACCAGGCACAATGGCTCACACTTGTAATCCCAGCACTTTGGGAGGCCGAGGCAGGTGGATCACAAGGTCAGGAGTTCAAGACCAGCCTGGCCAACATAGTGAAATCCAATCTCTACTAAAAATACAAAAATTAGCTGGGTGTGGTGGCACATGCCTGTAGTCCTGGCTACTCGGGAGGCTGAGGTGGGAGAACCACTTGAACCCAGGAGGCAGAGGTTGCAGTGAGCTGAAACCATGCCATTGCACTCCAGCCTGGGTGACAGAGTGAGACTCTGTCTCAAAAAAAATGAAAACTAACAAAAAAACAAAAAAAAAAACTGTAAATTGAGTGGTGATATTCTTTACAAATGCAACATTAAGACTGTGTCATTTACTATTGCTATTATTGGATAATATACCAACCCAGATGTTGCCATTCATAAATGGGAGTGCTGCCTTCCATATCGTCTCTCGAATTGGTCCTTTCCTCCCTAGATAATGCCGCTGAGGAAGAGATGGGCTAAAGCCTGCTCCATGCCAAGCAATCTGGGTGGCAGATGGATTGGATTCCAGTGTTGTATAAAGAAGAAGCATTAAAAGCTTGCCATCAATGCCAGCAAAGTTTGTGCCATGATTTCCGATTTTCATCTTTTCCATCTAACTGAACTTTAGGTCCCCAATCCATAATGTCTCCAGTTAACATAGATTGTTTTCTAGGCACTGGGCCAAGACACTGGGTCCAAGGAGGGGGGTAGGAACTATTGAAGGGAATCCATTCTGTAGAGCAGCACAATTAGGACAATTGGGCTGGGAATGGTTGGTTAGCACACCAGTTACATTAATAGAACTAAGACTTAATAAGGACATGATTTTTCTATAGTGACTCAACCATATTTGAGCTTGAATTGTAAGACACCTATGGCTGAGTGACATCTTTGTGGTGATACACATGAGAAGTCCTTCCAGTGGAGCGATATAATTAATGACATTATTCTGAGAGTCTAACTGTTCTATGTCAGGGGGAGTTAGGGGTCCTGAAGCCCATGCTCCTTGATCATGATAAATCTCAGGAGGAGTGTCACTCCAAAGTATAGGTTGTACTGCTGGGGAATTGGGAAGATATGCACGATATGTTTTTGCCTCTGCACATGGAAAACATACCGCACAGGACATTATGGCTAACATGGCCATGAACATGTAATTAGGGGTTTTTGTCTGGTTTTGATGCTCCACTTGTTTCTCAGCTTCCTGCATGGTTTTCTTGAGTTGCCCCCAAGTTATTGGGTTGATGTCGTCGTGACTCTAGTCAGCCTTCTCCCTGTCTTCACACTCAGGCTCAGCTGGCTCATGGCTCATACCAAGGGGCGAAGCCCATGGTTGGCCACCCTGGGTTCCTCCAGTCTCCCATTCCATGGTCTCATGCACCTTGAGGGCATCCACACGGTTTGTCCATCTCCTGTAAAAACACGAGTATAACCTTGTCTTCTCATCAGTAAATCCACTGGATCTTTCCATTGTCCTTCTTCTGGGGATTTCCATAAAACTTTTGGATAAACTTTCCTCTTTTCCTCTAACACTTGCCAATGTCTTTCTGCTGGAGCCTTACCATCTGTACCAGAAGTCAAAAAATTTAAAGTAAATAAGGCTAAATGTAGTTTTGACTGAGGTGGTAGTTGGCCTCCTATACCCCCTTTTTGTGTTTTCAACATGTGTTGTAATGTTTGATGTGCCCACTTTATAATGCCTTGTCCTCTAGGATTATAAGGAATTCTTGTTTTATGGGTTATAGCTCAAAGCTGTAAGAAATTTTGAAAAGCATGACTAGTATAAGCAGGTCCATTGTCAGTTTTTAATTGTTTATGTATCCCCATATGAACAAAGGATGACAATGTCACTGTACATGACCAATTGTCTCACCTGTTTGGCATGTATCATGCAGCATATGAGAATAAGTGTCTATAGTCACAGAAATATAGCTAAGCTTACCAAAGTTTGCTATGTGTGTAACATCCATTTGCCAAATTTCATTTGGAGCCAAACATCATGGGTTACAGCCTTCTACAGGTGTGGCTCCGGGGACATGCTGGCAAATAGGACAGGCTTGTATTATAGCCCTAGCTTGGCTGCGAGATAAATGGAACATGTGAGTAAGGGCGGAAGTATTTTCGTGCAGTAGCGCTTGCTGAAACACAGAACCAATCAATTTATCTGCTTTATCATTTCCTAAGGATAATGGTCCAGGAAGTTGTGTGTGAGAACAAACATGAGAAATATGAAAAGGAGCTGCACAAGAATAAATATCATGTTGAAATCTTAAAAATAAATTAAGCAGTTCCAGGTCTAGTGTACTTTTAATTGTAGCAGTTTCTATGCAACTGGCTACATTTACAACATAAGCTGAATCACAGAAAATGTTGATAGGATCTGAAGCTGTGAGCTGTAAAACCTGAATGACTGCAATTAACTCTGAGCATTGAGCTGAAACCCCAGAGGTCATTAATGGTTCAGTATGTTTAGGTCCATAGACAGTGGCACAGCCTTTGGAACAGCCATCAGTAAAATAATTCTGGCCACCTGGAATAGGCTTGTGATGAGTAATCACAGGAAGAATGAAAGAATGCATTTTATAAAACTGCAAAATTTTGTCTGAGGGATAATGATTTTTCTATTATTCCCACAAAGTCTGCAAAAGCAATTTGCCATGCAATTGACATTTCCCAAGCTGTGGCCTGTTGCTGGGAGTCTAAAGGAACAATAATTTTGTCAGGGTGATATCCCGTAAGCATTTTTGACCTATGCCTGCCCCTAGTCACCATTTGTGTAATTAAAGAAAGATAAACTTGCAAGGTACTGATGGTTTGATTAGGTAGAAAGAGCCATTCTATTACTGTTACAGACTTGTCTATGAACTGGCCCAAAAGTCCTACTAGAGAGTGGGGGGTAGGAAGAATAAACAAAAGCAAAGGTTTTTGCAGTTGTAGCTGTGAGGCATGTCTCTGCTGTAACATTTGCTCTACAAGCCATAACTCAGCGTCTTGCCTCTTTAGTTAATTGCCTTGGGGAATTTAAAGAAGAATCTCCTTGCAGGGTTTGGTAAAGATGTGTAAGTTGATAGGTACCAATACCTAACATTGGGCATAGCCAATTAATATCTCCTAATAATTGTTGAAAATCATTTAAAGTCTATAACCTGTCTTTACAAAGAACTACTTTCTGAGGCCATACACTCCTCTCTGTAACAATAGTTCCTAAGTATTGGTATGGAGAAGTTGTTCGTACCTTCTCTGGAGCAATTTTGAGATTCCAATTAACAAGAGCTCACTTTACTTCTCTGAATAATTGATGCAATACTTGATCTGTAGGAGTGGCCAAAAGAATATCATCCATAAAATGAATGATGTAAGCAGTAGGAAACATATTCCGAGGCTCCTTTAATGCCTGTCCTACAAAATGCTGACATAGCACAGGACTGTTAAGCATGCCTTGGGGTAAAACTCTCCATTGATAATGAGAAACAGGTTCTCTTTGATTAATAGAAGGCACGGAGAAGGCAAATCGAGGCTTATCCTTCTCGTGTAAGTGTATGGTAAAGAAACAATCCTTAAGATACATTAATAGCCTCTGGAGATGGTACACCTTTCTGTAAGGTGCCCATCGGTTTAATTTTTGCATTAATAGTTCTCAAATCTTACAGCAGTCGCCATCTTCCGGACCTTTTTGGAATAAGGTCCTGTATCCAATTGTTCTTTTACTAGCTGCTGATGTTGCATCAGCTTCTCCTGAGATAGGGGCCATTGATCCACCCATATGGGTTTGTCACTAAGCCATTCTAATGGTAAAGCAGAGGGTGGAGGAGAAATATCAATGACCCCCATCAGAAATCCTGACATTCTAGCCCTTTTCTATCTGTTTTTCCAGTTATTGATATCGGGTTAGGGTTTCCTTGTAGGAACCTCCCCAAACCTTTTCCTTTCTGATATCCCATGTTCTTCAACATTTTAAATCCTGGGTCATCAAAGTTTTCATTTGTAAGTCTCATATCCCATGCTGTAAGTCTCAACCCCATAAATTGATAGCTATATTTGCAACATAGGGCTGAAAAGTACATGACTGTCCATCCAGACCAAGACAAGGTAAAATCTCAGCACTGTGTTGAACACTTTGAGCTGTTTCTACTCCCACTAGGGATGTAGAAGTTAATTGCAAGGGCCAGGATGGGAGCCATTTGTCTTTAGATATTACTGACACATCAGCTCCTGTATCCATAAGCGCATAAAATTTATTTCCTTTAATTTATACTACACAGGTGAGTCTATTAGAGGCTAGGGTTGGCTTAGATAGATTTCCCAGGTGATTGTGCTTCCCAAAACCTTTATTTCCTCATTTCTCCTTTCATGGAGAAGGGTGTAATTTATAGGGAATAAGCAATAATTGAGCAATATGTTCTCCTGGTTCAAAAGCCCAAAGATCTTGTGACATTAAAACTACTTGAATTTCTCCTTCATAATCAGAGTCAACAACTCCTGGGACTACACTAATGCCCTGTAAGTTAAGACGGCTTTTGCCTAAAATTAGTCCCATGTATCCTGCTGGTGAAGGTCTCCAAATGCCAGTGGGATTCTTGGTGGGTTTGTCTTCCCCAACTAATGTAACCCTTTCTCTGGCCATGAGATCTAATCCTGCACTTCCTGGTGTTCCTGGGGTGAGGGAATCAATGTGCCTCCGGGAACATCTTGTGTGATAGAAACCTAAGCTCTTAGGGTATGGTCTCACAGTTGGCAACATAACTGATTCTTTTAAGGGTATGTTTTGGATGATGCGGGCAATCACAAGACCAAGAAATCTTACAGGCTGCAGCCTATTGTGACACTTCTCTTTTGGAAAATAAACTCTGTCATCAGTGGCAATAATATGTACAAAATCAGGACAGAGAATAAAGACTCAGCAAATGCAACTAATTTGATGCAAGGAGAAGCATAATAGAGGAACATCAGTATTCAAATGTGTGTCAATTCTAGTGATAAAATTTTTTTTACAACCTCTAGGAAAAAATGGAAAGAATATTACTACAATTCTACCAGGAATTTGATGGGTCTAATCAAGGTAGCTCACCTTTCCAGGATTTCAGCATTGGTAATTATTGGCAGTCTTGGTGCTCATTTGCATCAGTGGCCAGTATCAGTGAAGGAAAGTCCATGAGTTCTTGAACTCATGGAAAATCTTCTCCCTCCTACCATGTCCACATTGTCTTCCATGGACCCATTAAGCAAACATTGTGAAAGGTATGGAAAAAGTCTAATATCCAAAGCCCAGTCATCCATTTGGCCATATATATATATACACACATATTTTTTGTTTGTTTGTTTGTTTTGAGATGGAGTCTTGCTCTGTCACCAGGCTGGAGTGCAGTGGCGCCATCTTGGCTCACTACAACCTCCGACTCCCTGATTCAAGCAATTCTCCTGCCTCAGCCTCCAAAGTAGCTAAGATTACAGGCACGCACCACCACGACCAGCTAAATTTTGTATTTTTATTAGAGACAGAGTCTCAACATGTTGGCCAGGATTGTCTCTATCTCCTGAACTCATGATCCACCTGCCTCAGCCTCCCAAAGTGCTGGGATTACAGGCGTGAACAACTGCACCTGGCCCTATTAGCCCTATTATTGGTAGCTTCTCATACTCACAAAAAGCATTCACATAGGAAACAAATATTCCCATGTTCATTCCAACTGGTCAATCATATACCTCATTGCAGACTCATTATTGCTGAATCTTTTGTTTATATCAAAGTCTACAGTTCCAGACTTATGGCCATTAGCAATAAATACATGCAGATGCCTATCTCTAAATGATGTAAACAAAAACTATATGTTGTTCAAATTTCTGCCATTTGGAAAGCTATCTTTTCCCCAGGTTTTTTTTTTTTTTTCAGGGCCAAATAACTACCAGCTTAAATTATACTGGAAATAGCATATTGTACAGAATCATCTGTGGATAGGTAAATTATTTCCCCCATTGGTTACCTGTTAATAAGAAACACCAATAGGGCCTCAGTTGTGGGTTGAAAGGTGGCAATGCATGGAGGTAGGTGCCATGGAGGTCTGAGTCACCTCTACATGCAACCTTTTTGTGCCCATAGCACGTGCTTCAGCTTGATGGCCTATAGACCAGTGTTCCTTACTTGTCTACAGCAACTGTGTATACCATGCTATTTTCCAGTAGATCTCATAACATGCAATTCATAATGGATATTTCAGGTCTTGTTACATCATATCCCATGATCAGTTGTTCAATCTCTAAAGAAGTGCAGTGGCAAGCCAAGACCTATTTCCAATACATTTGTCAAAACTAGATTTTTTTTTACATCCCTGGAATTCTGTACTGTGGTTGTCAGTTGGGCTTGCCAACTGTCAGTTCTGCAGTAGGTCACAGCACCGTGACCTGCTGCAGATGCTTCAGCTCCATCCTGTGTCCTCTACTGCAGAGCTGCCTTCCCTCCAGCCACACCAGCTGCAGAACTGCCTCTTGCTCTGGGCTTCAGTAAAGATAGGCAGCTTTCTGGGTCACTCTGTACATGTGTTGAAGCAGCATTCTCAAATGTGGCATATTTTGTCTCCAAAATATAAAGAGATTAACAATGGTTGTGCCCCTTTTGCAGAAATAGGTGATTTCAGTTCCATGAGCTTTTCTTACATGTTGAATAGGCTGTCTTGACAATCTGCAGACCAGAGCCCCTAGAGATTGACCTGGTGCATTAATCTCTGCAGTGGCAAACCAAGCAAATTCAGTTGAGCTATAACAGAAATTCAGATCTTTAGTCTAATGTCAGAGCAGCAGAAGTGATGTGTTCTTCACTCTGTCTGGAATGCTCTTATCTGAAATACAGACATGGCTCTTTTATTTATTTTGGGTCACTGTTCAGATTTTCTGAGCCTGAGACTTTCATTTAGAAAATGACACACCACTATCACTCTCCAAGTCTTTTACTTTGCTTTTTGCTTTTCTTATATAATCATATGGGTGGGTGGTGTATATATAGATATTTATTGTGTGTATATAAATTTATATATAAATATCTATATATACACACACACATATCAATTTGCTGTGGTTATTTATTTACATTCTTGTCACCCCAAAATAAAAATTCTTTTTACATAGAAACCTAAGTGTATTTTAATTTTGTTCTACCTATTCTGAAATCCTCAGCTCCCAAAATAACGCATGGTACACAGTAGGAGCTCAATAGACGAAAAAATCCAGTTTTGAATAAAATTATCATAATCATTACAGAAGGTGAAGAGGCAGCAGGCATACTTCACTTGGCCAGAGCAAGAGGAAGAGAGTAGGGGGAGGGAGGTGCCACACACTTTCCAACAACTAGATCTTGAGATAACTCTATCTTGAGAACCGCACCAGAAGGAGAAATTCGCCTCCATGGTTCATTTACCTCCTAGCAGGCCCCACCTTAAACATTGGGGATTACAATTTGGCAAGAGATTTTGGCAGGGACACATATCCAAACCATATTACCATCAAATATAAAAGGTAGAATACATTTACTTTTAGATATCCAAGGTCTTTAAAAATGTACCTAACATGCACACTCTCTGGATACCAGGATGCAAACTGTCTGTGGAATCAGCAAGCAAAACAAGAGCAGAACCAAACAGAAGGAGACTCAGAGACAGGGAAGCCATTTGAGGGAGTAAGGAGGGGAGGCTTAGGTCACAGCTTTACACTCTTCAGAGAGAAACCAAATCAGAGGAGGAAGAAGGCAGGCTGCAGGAGAGACATCTGCAGGGAAAGAAAAAATGTAACCCAGAGATAATTTAAAGTGCTATAAACAAATGAAAAACAATTTTGGGGCAAGTGTAAGCTAAGTGGTAGTATTTTAGCAAAACTTAGCAATAGGCAAAAAGAAAATCAAACTAATATAAAGTGAAATAACTATTTAATTCAAGAAATAAATTTGTATTAAAAAGGTAATAAAAGGGCGGGTGTGCTGGCTCATGCCTATAACCCCAGCACTTTGGGAGGCTGAGGTAGGCAGATCATTTGAGGTCAGGAGTTTGAGACCAGCCTGACCAACATCGTGAAACCCCATCTCTACTAAAAATACAAAAGAATTAGCCAGGCGTGGTGGCCCACACCCGTAATCCCAGCTACTTGGGAAGCCGAGGTAGGAGAATTGCTTGAACTTGGCAAGCAGAGGTTGCAGTGAGCCCAGATCATGCCTCTGTACTCTAGCCTGGGTGACAAAGTGAAACTCCGTCTCAAAAAGAAGAAAAAGAAAAAAAAAGGTAATAAAATCATAGTATACTGCTTGGGTGTTTAGTAAATAATATTTGATTAATCACCTTACAGCATTCGCTGACTACAAGTTTAGGTAAAAATAATGTTATTAGTATTCTGAATTGCTAGAATGGTGGGGAAGGGCAGTTAACAGAAAAGTGGTTTCCAAGTATCTCTCAGTATTAAAGGGCAGTTTTTAGAGTTTATATGGTTTAAGGTCAAATAGATGAGGAAAAAATTAACTGAAAGAAGGAGAAAAACTAAACTTTACAAAAAAAACTCTTCATATTTATTATCTTCATTAAAATAATAATTTTCTCAAGGATAAATCTCAAGAATTAGCAAATTCAGGGTCCCAAAAGTAACAGATGCTGTGGAACTGGATGCTCTAAAACCAAGTATAACAAAATCTCAGGAAAATAAGCTTCTCAACGAAAAACTTGATTCACATGCAAGCCAACTAGAAAAAAAGAAAATACAGCTTTTTACCATCAACTGAAAGGACTAATAAGGAGGGGAACAAAGAAAAACTACTTTATATGTCTGCTAGTTTATGTACCTAAAAAGTAGAGATTAGGGATTAATTTCATCATATTGTTTACAAAAATTTGTAATTCGGCTGGGTGCGGTGGCTCACGTCTGCAATCCCAGTACTTTGGGAGAAAAAAATATTAAAACTTTTGTTACTGCAAACCTATGAATTTTGTACAAATCTAAACAGTGCTAATTTTAAAAGACCTGGGCTTGGAGTGGTGGCTCATGCCTGTAATCCCAACACTTTGGGAGGCCAAGGTGGGCAGATCACCTGAGGTCAGGAGTTCGAGACCAGCCTGGCCAACATCATGAAACCCCATATCTACTAAAAATACAAAAATTAGCTGGTCATGGGGGCATATGCCTGCAATCTCAGCTACCCAGGAGGCTGAGGCAGGAGTATTGCTTGAACCCGGGAGGCAGAGGCTGTAGTGAGTTGAGATTGCACCACTGCATGCCAGCCTGTGCAGCAGAGCAAGACTCCATCTCAAAAAATATATATATATAATTCATTTATCTTGATTATATCTGCTTAGCATAATACCAATATTTACTATATAATATATTTAGGCCTATTTCCACAAATATTATTTGGGGTATCTCTTATTATAAAGTCTATGAACACAGTAGAAGACAATGAAAATGTTTATTCACTGAGTGTTACAGTATTTCAGGTATCTTTACCTAGAGTATTAAACCTAATATTTCTAAACCAAAATCCAATCTATAAAAAATCAACTTAAAATTTTTTTTAGATTTTGATGAAAATATAATCCTGGAATATATTGCTAGGAACATTATGCAGATGTAGCAAATATTTGTTGAGCTGAATTAAAGTCTCCAAGCCTATAATTTTAAATTTTTCTTGATGCAATTTCAAAAATTTCCTAAGGCTATAAGAACTTAGTCATACATACAGAAAATATTGATTTCAATAGGTAAGGTGTGGCCTCAGGCAGGCAAAGCTCAAATTATTTTTGAAAAGTTTTCTAATTCTTTTTAACATTTTTATATTATTTTAAATGTTCTACTTTTTGTAATTTGTTTTTTGATTCCTTCTTTGCTACATAAATGAAAAGTAACACACAAACCATTTCTGAAATCTTCAAAAAAGCTTTGGATAGAAAATCTGGAGATTATTCTGGCTTTTTTAGTGTAGACATCTTTGAAAGTTTTCAAATTGAAGAAATATACAAATAGAAATATTCTATTAAATAGGATACATGATACTGTCTATAGAATAATTACCTTGGCTTTAGTTTTTGTAGCTAATAATTTTTAAGATTACTTCCCCTACATTTTATTACTTCGGCTAGAAATCTTGTTTATTTAAGTTATTGTTAGCTTAGTCAAACTTCAAACTGTAATATTGGAATTAACAGAGCATTGTCAGAATTCTGCAAAAAGTCATCTGTATATTCTCAAGTTTTTATATCATAGAAAGGCCTTTGCCAGGTGTGGTGGCTCATGCCTGTAATTCCAGCACTTTGGGAGGCTGAGACGGGCAGATCATGAGGTCAGGAGATCGAGACCATCCTGGCCAACATGGTGAAACCCCGTTTCTACTAAAAATACAAAAATTAGCTGGGCGTGGTGGCAGGTGCTTATAATCCCAGCTACTCAGGAGGCTGAGGCAGGAGAATAGCTTGAACCATGGAGTCGGAGGTTGCAGTGAGCAGAGATTGCGCCATTGCACTCCAGCCTGGCGACAGAGCGAGACTCTGTCTCAAAAAAAAAAGGGGGTTCAAATCCAGTACTTAGAGCTTTCTAGGTGTTTCTAGCCAAATTCAGATTAAATTGGCTAATAATGTCTTTCAAATTGTTGTACCATGCTCCAATATTGAAGTATAACTTCTAGAAACAAATGAAAAACAAGTTGTTTTCAAATTATATGTTCTTAGTTACACTGTAACACAGTATGAAGCCTTGAAAATATCTGAAGAGAGAAAATGGAATCAGCAATGATCCAGCTGTGACCTCACTACTTAGTAATTGTGCTTTTAGCCAACTTATTTACTTATCTCTGAACTGAGCACATTTCTGGCAAGGTGGTACTAATCACTGATCAAAACTACCTTAAAAAAAATTCAGAAATCTCAGGGTATCCAGAGAAAATAGAGCAGGTGCTCTGAATAGTCACCATTAACATTTCACTTTGTTTCAGTATCTATTTACTATCACTTAAGTACATACAAAGAATACAAGAAAATTGCCCATTTCTCATTTTTAATGCTAACCCTAAAACAATAAGGCTTTTGCAGCTTGAAATTAACAGATTCTGGCCAGGCAGGGTGGCTAACATCTGTAATCCTAGCATTTTGGGAGGGAGTGGAAGGTGGATCACAAGGTCAGGAGTTCGAGGCCAGCCTGGCTAATATGGTGAAACCCCGTCTCTACTAAAAACACAAAAATTAGCTGGGCATGGTGACATGCACCTGTTCCCAGCTGCTCGGGAGGCTGAGGCAGGAGAATTGCTTGAACCTGGGAAATGGAGGTTGCAGTGAGCAGAGATCATGCAACTGCACTCCAGCCTGGGCAACAGAGCGAGACTGTCTCAAAAAAAAAAAAAAAAGAAAAGAAAAGAAAAGAAAAGGAGAGAAAAAAGAAATTAACAGCTTCTCACTGGTCCTTCAACAGAAGGTTAAATGATGATGGAGTCAGCTGCAATGGAAAACACTCCAAATTTTCCATGGTAAACAAATCTGGCCTCAGTTCTTGCAGTTCCCAAATTCACAGTTCTTTTGGGATATGTTGATGCATGAGCTGCAAAAGATAAAACATTCCACACCAGAAGATTTTGTTTATAAAAACTTATTCCCATCTAATAATTTTAGGAGATATAAACACAGCAATGTTAATGACTACCTATTAATTGTTAATTCTTGGAGAAAAATTGACAGTTATTTCTGAAAACATGAAAAGCTTCATATAATAATTAGAACCTTACATGTGAAATTCTATTTATTATGGAGAAGTTAATAACTAATATGTTACCAGCAATAAAATATAAATCATTTCTCACTGTGTTACCAATGGCCAGTCCGCACAGGTTTGCAGTGATTTTGGTTTTTGTCTTCTCAAAAGAAAGTATCTAGCCAAGAGACAAAAAGCAAATTTGAAGCAAAAGTTGGACTTTATTGAAAGAAAGCAAAGTAGCTTTGGAAAGGGACCAAATGGGTGACTTAGAGATCAAGTGCCCTACCTGGCCCTTGGCTCCAGTTTCTTACACATTCACTTATTTTCTAGTATTATGGACTCCTCCCCTGGTCCCTTTGGCATGATTAATGCCTCACTGTTGCTTGTGCGGTACTTGCCAGCAGTAGGGAAGTCGTCTGCATGCTTCATGAGTGTTCTGAGGTTCTATGCTTGCTCTATTGGAGATATTATTTTTACCAGTTGAGCACCTCCAGAGAAAGGCATATATTGGTTAAACTCCACTATTTTGCCTCTCACTGTCCATGCTTGGATGGTCTTGCCAAATTTTTGAGATTTTATTAAGTTGTTGCCCAAGCACTCAAAATGTTTTCTATTTGTTAGAAGGGTGCCCCTACTTGTCACCAGCTGAGACCACTTATCAATCCTGAGGTGACCACCTGATAATCACTTGACATTCCTGGGGCACATTCCCAGGGCCTCTACCTTACCCAACTCATCACTATCTGACTACCTGCTCTAACTGGGTAATTGGATATTCTATTGCCTGTGAAACTTTTGGTATCTAAAACTTTTACCAGTCAATATATACAGCCCATCAACTTTCTTCACTTTAATTGTAATATGAGTTTCATTTTCTTTTGCTGATACAGTAGTTAAGATTTTATTTTATACTTACTCATTTATTAATTTTGAAAGCATTATAATTAAAATAAAATTTATATGGCTGCCATCTAATATGTTTGTAGATGTTAGCCAAAAGTCTGGCACGGGAAAAGAAGGAGAAAAAAAAGTAGCAGGAGGGAGTTTTTATCTTTCTAAATGATTATATGTGCCTCCTAAAAGGTGTTTACCTATAAATTATAGGTGGTGGCAGCAGTAGCAGACAAAGGTGTGGTATGCAGCCCTTGATCATTTCAATGCTGCTCCTGTTGAGCCCATGGCAACCCAGCCCTGTGTGTAGCCCTCATCCTGCACTATGTCATCACATCCCCCCTGCTGGCATGGGCACATGAGCCTCAGGCAGACCGCAGGTGCGGGGCCTGAGCTGGCCTCTCCTGCTGTTGCTACTGCTGCTGCTTGAGCTGCTGGCCTCAGGAGTGCAGGAAACATGGGGTCACTGGGGAACTGAGAACAGCCACACTGGCATAGTCGACACCTTTTGCTGGAGCATCCATAGCCTGTTGTGAAAAGGCAATATCTGCTGCTCAAAAGATCTTGACCTGGCTCACCAAGAAGTTTGTGTTGGGAGTACATATGTTTCTACAGACATTGTGGAGAGTCTAGTAAGAGGTTTTGGATGTTCTTGGACTTGACATCTCCAACCTGTCCCAGCATTGCAACCCAGCCTCAGTGGCCAGCAGCCTAGCCTAGGCCCTTCTTTTGGTCAGTGCCAGCTGCTTGGCCTACTGATTCTAGTTTCTGACCCTGGACATAACCTTCAAAGCACTGCATCTGGTGTTCAGCACTTCTTCTGGATCGTGTGGACCATCCTGTTCTCCAGGTCCTGCAAGCACATTCTGCACAAGGATAAGGGTGAGGAATGAGGTGCTCCCTGTGCTTCACAGTAAAGTCCACCTTATGACCTGGCCCATGGGCTTTTACAGGCATGGCAGCTCTACTGTAAATAAGAAGCTGGAGCACCTGAGAACAAGGTCAGACTTTTCAACATTTGCCTCAACAGGGGGCTAAAAATTCTCCACTGCTCCAAAGAAGCGTAAAGGTTAGCCAACCATAAGTGCCAGTTTCTTTTTTCTTTTTTTTTTTTTTGAGACGGAGTCTCACTCTGTCACCCAGGCTGGAGTGCAATGGCGCGATCTTGGCCACTGCTACCTCCACCTTCTGGGCTCAAGGGATTCTCCTGCCTCAGCCTCCTGAGTAACTGGGATGACAGGCATATGTCACCACGCCCAGCTAATTTTTGTATTTTTAGTAGAGGCAGGGTTTCACGATGCTGGTCAGGTTGGTCTCAAACTCCTGACTTCAAGTGAACTGCCTGCCTTGGCCTCCCAAAGTGCCGTTACAGGCATGAGCCACCACACCTGGCCCATCAGTGCCAATTTCTACCAGTGCACTGTCTCAAAAAAACAAAATGGAGGGAAAAGAACAAACACCAGACCCCAAACAAAAAAAAAATGGCTGAGCAAGTAGGGGCAAATAGTAAAGATTTTTTTTTTTTTTTTTGAGACTGAGTCTCACTCTGTCACCAGGCTGGAGTGCAGTGGGGCAATCTCGGCTCACTGCAACCTCAGCCTCCAGGGTTCAAGCGATTCTCCTCCCTGAACCTCCTGAGCAGCTGGGACTACAGGTGCGCACCACCACACCCAGCTAATTTTTGTATTTTTAGTAGAGACGGCATTTCACCATGTTGGCCAGGATGATCTCCATCTCTTGACCTCGTGGTCCGCCAGCCTCACCTTCCCAAAGTGCTGGGATTACAGGCGTGAGCCACCGCACCCAGCCGCAAAGATATTTTTATCCTTTTATTAGTTCTTGGGACAGCTCTTTTTATTCCCAGAAGAATAAAAACAGCATTTGTGTAGATCTACACATGAAGTGTCATTAGTAGAAAAGCGTTTTTAAACAATGTATATAACCACATTTGTCTGTAAAGTAAGAGAAATTTGTGAGTAGAGAATAAAGTTAACTTTTCCTAGCATTTAAATATATTTTTGAAAGGGTAATTCATAAAGGCAGATTAAAGCTTCTTAAAACTTTACACTGAGGAAAGAATATGCTAATTTGACATTTTAGAAAAGTTTAAATGCAGGCCGGGCGCGGTGGCTCATGCCTGTAATCTCAGCACTTTGGGAGGCTGAGGTGGGCGGATCACGAGGTCAAGAAATCGAGACCATCCTGGCCAACATGGTGAAACCCCGTCTCTACTAAAAATACAAAAAATTAGCTGGGTGTGGTGGCATGCACCTGTAGTCCCAGCTGCCCAGGAGGCTGAGGCAGGAGAATTGCTTGAACCCGGGAGGCAGAGGTTGCAGTGAGCCGAGATAGTGCCATTGCACTCCAACCTGGTAACAGAGTGAGACTCCATCTCAAAAAAAAAAAAAAAAAAAAAGTGTAAATGCAAGTGTTTGTTTTTGCAGCTTAGGGTTTGTTGGGTAAGATCTGTGCAAATTATATTGACTTAGTTCGTGAATGTTGTCATTTCTAAATGTGGACAGTTGGGCTGGAGGATTAAACTCAACCTCTTTTGAATTCTGGTGGCCCTCTGCCAACACTCCATCATTCAGATTTCTAAATGAAACAATTATTTTTAGAAGACCTAAGATTTTTTTCCCTCTGTACTTTGATGTATTTTAACCTCAATATTTTGAATAGGAAAAGGAATGGAAGAGATGCCAAGGGGTTTGATGCCAAGAGCTATCTGGGTAACCGCTGAAGATCATTCAAGACTCAATTTAAAGTCCAAATGTTACTGCTAGCCAGCTAGGCCTATATACAAAAGCTATATCCTGGAAGGCTTTTTGTTGGTTTCATTTTGGTTTTGGTTAATGCGGGACATGAGAAGGAAAACAAACAGTAGTGGCTAATGACATTCTCAAATCTATTGCTGCTTAGAAAGCATTCTCACGAACAGTAAGCAGCAACAGACAAGCCTTGGAGAAAATCTGAATGGTTTTCTTTGAAATACTTATAGTAGGGTTGTTAGGTGCTTTTTCTGAGGCCTATTCTGCTCTCATTTTAGGTGGCCTCTATCAGCAGAGACTGAGACATACATAGTGGACAGCTGTGAGGACCCTGGGCAAGGGAGATTCAGAAGGCATGGGTCAGGGACTGGTGGAAACACTAGTCTGCTAGAACTCATTAGGAAGTGAAGCCCAGCATTTGCATAATGCAGCTGTGAAGGCGTCTGGTGATCATAAATGTCTCCATGGCCCTTCTCAGCCCACCAATGTGCTCCAGCAGCCACTCACACAGCCCTGCATGCAGGTTTGTAGGTAGTCCTGTCAGATCTGCTAGAATCAAGACCTTATAGTCCAGGTCTCAGTTTGAAGAAAACAGCTGTCTACCCACTCTTGTGAAAAGATTCTGTGAAATTTAACTTTGCATTGCAAGTGTTTGGGAAACAGGTGTAGATTTCTTTGAGGATGCTTACAAAACTACAGTTGTTTTTTTTGAGATGAAGCCTCACTGTCGCCCAGGCTGGAGTGCAATGGCGTGATCTCGGCTCACTGCAACCTCTCCCTCTGGGGTTCAAGTGATTCTCCTGCCTCAGCCTCCTGAGTAGCTGGGATTACAGGTGCATGCCACCACGGCCAGCTAATTTTTGTATTTTTACTAAAGATAAGAAAAATGTTCTCTCCACAGTAAGAATCAATATTATTTCATCACTGATATTTTCCGTCTCTGACTTGAAGCTACCAACTAACTCCAGCAGAAATGTTTTTGGCTTATTATGGACAATCTGTTACACAGCAAGCACCATCATGCTTGTTCACTATATTTATGTATAGAAACATCCTCATAAGGCCAGGCGCAGTGGCTCATGCCTGTAATCCTAGCACTTTGAGAGGCTGAGGTGAGCACATCACAAGGTCAGGAGATGGAGACCATCCTGGCTAACATGGTGAAACCTTGTCTCTACTAAAAATACAAAACAGAAAATTAGCTGGGCATGGTAGTGTGTGCCTGTAGCTACTCAGGAGGCTGAGGCAGGAGAATTGCTTGAACCTGGGAGGCAGAGGTTGCAGTGAGCCGAGATCATGCCACTGCACTCCAGTCTGGGTGACAGAGCAAGACTCTGTCTCAAAACAAAACAGAACAAAAAAACTTCAGAACTTATGAAGCCTCCCTAGTATTTACCTGAACTAATTAGCTCAATAAATTTACATATGTCAATTATAGAAAGTGAAATGAACAATAGCTAAAGTAGGTTTATATAGAAGTCTCCAATTAAATAAACAAAATCGAATATCCTAACTCAATATAACTTAAAACACTAATTGTGGAATTGCACCTAAAAATTATTTTGTGTGCACAACTAAATTTCATAAAAATCATTCTTATAATCCCCAGTGAGCTTACATAATACCTCATAAACTATAAAAGAAAAAATAATAAAAAAGAAAATTATGGGTCTAGCATGAGTACCAAGCAAGTAAAAAAAAAGTTTGCATGGGGAGATTCTGAACCATAAACCATAAGATCTTACAGTAATGAATTCAATAGAAAGCAGACAGTATAGATTTCCTTTCAGCATTTTTGAGGTTTTTAGTTTTCTAGTAAATTAGTCACCTTATTAAAATTACTTGTTTTGCTTCAATATTGATTTTTTCTTCCTAAAATAGGTAGACACTCATACAAGAACAGTTACTTACTCCATAATTTTCTTACACCTAAGGTTTATCTTTAGAGTAATGTATGTGTATATTTAACCCTATGTAAGTCAAAACTAAAACTCTGTATGTGTTTCAGGCAGAGCGGCCACATAGTCAAAGAAAAATATATACCAATGTTTATTCATGACTCAGGAATGTATGGACTTTATTTATACTTCTATATAATTTTTATAATTAAAATGACCCTGTAGTCAATAACAATTTAATTGTACATTAAAATAATGAAGTGTAGAATTGGCTTGTAATACAAAGGATAAATGCTGAAGGTAATAGATACTTTATCCTGATGTGACTAATACATATTATATGCCTGTATCAAAACATGTTATATATTGCATAAATATATACACATTTGGCCAGGTGCAGTGGCTCATGCCTGTGGTCCCAGAACTCTGGGAGGCCGAGGCAGGCAGATCATGAGGTCAGAAGATCGAGACCATCCTGGCCAACATGGTGAAACTCCATCTCTACTAAAAATACAAAAATTAGCCTGGTGTGATGGTGGACGCCTGTAATCCCAGCTATTCGGGAGGCTGAGGCAGGAGAATCACTTGAACCGGGGAGGTGGGGGTTGCAGTGAGCCAAGATCATGCCACTGTACTCCAGCCTGGGTGACAGAGCGAGACTCCATCTCCAAAAAAAAACCCAAACAAGTAGTGGGCGCCTGTGGTCCCAGCTACTTGGGAGGCTGAGGCAGGAGAATGGAGTGAACCTGGGAGGCGGAGCTTGCAGTGAGCCAAGATCGCGCCACTGCACTCCAGCCTGGGCGAGAGCAAGACTCTGTCTCAAAAAAAAAAACCAAACAAACAAAAAAAATTATGAATAGCACAAAGAATAAAATAAGGTAATTAAAATCATACTATGTACCCACAGAAATTAAGAACAGTAAGTTTAAATAAGACAAAAAAGAATATTTAACCTATAGAAAAATATTCTTTAACTTATTTGCAGTTGAAAGCCACTGGTGAAATAGATTAATAGAAATGTTAGTCCATTATGTTACCAAATAGTATATTGTTACCATCTTTTACATACACTCTTGAGTAAGGTGAAATAGGTTAAAGTTAGAAGCATAATAATGCTTCATTGAATGTACAATGGTCTTAACACATTTTTTTAAAAGTTATATTTACATGTAATCTAAAAATTTAAAAATGTACATTTAATTACATAAAATTACAATAAGTAAAATGACTTACTAATTTAACCAATTTTAACTAAAATAAAAAACTTTTGTCACTATAATGCAGAAGAATATTACTCTGAAAACCTATCTCCTGCATCACTCCTTTATAAGTTAACCACAAAGAGCCTCTCCAGTTACATTTTCATCACGCATCTTTTTTTTTTTTTTTTTTCTTTTTGAGATGGAGTTTGACTTTTGTTGCCCAGGTTGGAGTGCAATGGTATGATTTCGGCTCACTGAGACCTCCACTTTCCAGGTTCAAGTGATTCTCCTGCTTCAGCCTTTGAAGTAGCTGGGATTATAGGTGCCTGGTAAATTTTTGTATTTTTAGTAAAGACAGGGTTTCACCATGTTGGTCAGGCTGGTCTCAAACTCCTGACCTCAGGTGATCCACCGGCCTCAGCCTCCCAAAGTGCTGGGATTATAGGCATGAGCCACCATGCCTGGCTGCATCTTACACTTTAATATCCTTACTGTTCCATAAAAAATGTTTTAAATAATGCCCACCTAATAAAAGAATCTCTCATATCTTTGGTGCAGCAACAATTGGTCACATGCTTTCACATGTGAATATAGCAGGAATGAAAAAAGAGCATAAAGTTATTTGAGAGTTTAATTACATCATTATTCACTAATTTAAAAATCAGTAATTTTTTCAAGATAAAAGTATACTTTAATTGTAATTATAACTGAAAATCTTCTACTTCTTTTAATGTTATATACAAATAATTTATCCACCAAGTTTTATTTTGTGTTGTTTTCTGTACTTAGCACTGATTTAGTGTAATGTCTGAAGTGTCCGCGCCTTAGATATTTCTACTGTGAATTCTCAGATATTTACATAAACTTAATTTCGGATTAAATTTTTTTCATTTTTACTGCATCTGCAAAAACATATTTTAGTATGAACCCTGTGGTGTTTTCTATGCTGTGGTTTTTTTAAAAATGTTTTTCCAAACTGATTACATTTGTAGGGTTTTTCTCCAATATAAATTCCCTGATGTTGAATAAACTTTGTACTATCAACCAAGCATTATAGACCCTCATGTTTTATAAGCTGTAGTTTTTCAAAACTGTTTTTACAAATTTATTACATTTTCCAGGGGTTTTTTCCAATATAAATTTTCTGATGTTGAACAGTATTTGAGCAACTGCTTCAGGGTTTTCTTTAGTACAAAATGTGTACAATAAGATCTGTGATGCAAGTAATGGTACTACAACCCTCTTAATATTTGTAATGTTTGTCTTCAGAATGAATTATCTTCTTCACTTTAAAGGCTTTTATTTTCTGAAAGATCTTTTGACACTAGTTGCATCTATAATGGTTTTATTAAGTACAGACTCTCTGATGTTGAGTAAGATATGAGCACATATTAATGGCTTTTCCACATTCTTTGTGTATATACCTTTTTCCAAGTAAAAATTCTTTCCTGTGCAATAAGGTACGAGCATTAATTAAAAGTTTTGCCACATTCTTCACACTTGTAGAAGTTTACTCCAATGTAAATTATCTTACCTACAATCAAGTGTGACAACCATGTAAAGCCTTTATCACATTCTTTACATTTCTAGAATTTCTCACCAGTATAATTTATTTTATGTTTGAAAAAGTTTGAGGTGTTGTCAAAATCACTGTCACATCTTCAGGTTTGTAGAGTTTCTCTCCAGTATGAATTTTGTTATGTGTAGTAAGGTTTGAATATTGGTTGAAAGCTTTGCCACATTCTTTACATTTGTAGGGTTGCTCTTTAGTATGAATTCTCTTATGTGTATTAAGGTGTGAGGAATAGTTAAATGCTTTGCCACATTCTTCACATTTGTAGGGTTGCTCTCCAGTATGAATTTTCTTATGTTCAATAAGGTTTGAGGATCGGTTAAAAGCTTTGCCACATTTTTCACATTTGTAGGGTTTCTCTCCAGTATGAATAATCTTATGTGTAGAAAGGGTTGAGGACAGTTTAAAAGCTTTGCCACATTCTTCACATTTGTAGGGTTTCTCTCCAGTATGAATTATCTTATGTTTAGTAAGGGTTGAGGACCACTTAAAGGCTTTGCCACATTCTTCACATTTGTAGGGTTTCTCCTCAGTGTGAATTATCTTATGTTTAGTAAGAGTTGAGAACTGGTTAAAAGCTTTGCCACATTCTTCACATTTGTAGGGTTTTCCTCCAGTATGAATTTTTTTATGTGTAGTAAGGTTTGAAGATTGGGTAAAAGCTTTGCCACATTCTTCACATTTGTAGAATTTCTCTCCAGTATGAATTTTCTTATGTGTAGTAAGGTTTGAGGATTGGGTAAAAGCTTTGCCACATTCTTCACACTTGTAGGGTTTCTCTCCAGTATGAATCCTCTTATGTTTGGTAAGGATTGAGAAATGGTTAAAAGCTTTGCCACATTCTTCACATTTGTAGGGTTTCTCTCCAGTATGAGTTATCTTATGTTCAGTAAGCTTTGAGGACCACTTAAAAGCTTTGCCACATTCTTCACATTTGTAGGGTTTCTTTTCAATGTGAATTTTCTTATGTTTAGTAAGGTTTGAGGACCGGCTAAAAGCTTTGCCACATTCTTCACATTTGTACGGTTTTTCTGCAGTATGAATTCTCTTATGTGTAGTAAGGTTTGAGAACTGGTTAAAGGCTTTGCCACATACTTCACATTTGTAGGGTTTCTCTCCAGTATGAATTCTGTTATGTTTAGTAAGGGTTGAGGGCCAGTTAAAGGCTTTGCCACATTCTTCACATTTGTAGGGTTTCTCTCCAGTATGAGTTAACTTATGTTCAGTAAGCTTTGAGGACCACTTAAAAGCTTTGCCACATTCTTCACATTTGTAGGGTTTCTTTTCAGTATGAATTTTCTTATGTTTAGTAAGGTTTGAGGACCGGCTAAAAGCTTCACCACATTCTGTACATTTATAGAATTTCTCTGCAGTATGGATTCTCTTATGTGTAGTAAGGTTTGAGAACTGGTTAAAGGCTTTGCCACATTCTTCACATGTGTAGGGTTTCTCTCCAGTATGA